>NC_000007.14:153094743-153246258 GCF_000001405.40 Homo sapiens | reverse complement strand
CTTCATGGAAAAATGACTCTACAATCAATGAAGTTTGAGAAACTGTGAATTAGTCAAGGTCCCAGCAGGAAACAGAGAGAATGGTCAAATTAGGTATTTTGAAATGAGTGCCATAAGGTGTAGACCACATACATGAAAATCACAAGATAGTGCAGTCTGTGGGTGCTATTTGCAGTTTGCTGCAAGGGGAGTGAGCAGTCACCAAAACAGACAGAAGGCTGTGCAAAGAAGGCCCTGACAACAGCTGTGGCTGTCAGTCAAGGTATACAATCAGCTGTCAGCCACCCACAGGCGGGAGCCAGGGGAGGAAATACTTGACTATTCTCTACTCTTTCCCTCTTACCTACTAAGTCCCCACTGTCCAAACCCAACTGGAAAGGAGAGCAAAGGGGGCTTGTTATGGAATCAGAAAAGACTAGGCTGCCAGGGAACAGAGCAGGGTGGAGAGTGGTGGAGAGTGGGTCTGGAGGGGCAAACAGAAGCCCAGTTCACCTTGCTTGCTACTCCTGCATTTTGGAGAACAACATGACATATTAGCTTGTTAAAGGCCTTGAGAGATTGTCCTAAACAGAAAGTTTAGTAATGTTTTGCCTGTTGTTTCCCTGATTCATTTGACCTCAGCCTGTTTTCTTTCACATAACATGCTGTTCTGTGGAACCCACCGGGGGAAATACTGTTCTTAACTGACCACTTCTATGTGAATCCATGTAGGAAGACCCCCTGAAACTATTGCTACAGAATAAAAGATAAAATGCTCCTGATTATTGTAAATACAAAATTGCATGCAGGATTGTGTAAAGACAATGCCAGGTTGGGCTGCCAGAATGAGCCAACGGCGTGTGATGTGCTTTCCCCTGCAGAGAGCCTATGAACAGATGTGCAGTCAGGGAGGTTTCACATTACCAACACTCCTATCCCAGAAAAGCAGATGTTCATAGCTGTGGGAATGGAATGCGACCCTTGTGGAGAGCCTATAAATGGATGCATGACGGGCAACTGTTCACATGGATAAGATAGGGCTATAAACGCCCTCATCTTGCCACAGCTCTTCTAGGCCTCTTTAGGGTTAAGGCATACTCCCTTCTGAGAATTTCTGGTCTAACCGGTTGTCTAGCTTCACGTCCTGTTTCTATGGATTGCTTGTAACCAGCTTTTGCTGCAACTGTTAACTGCTGATTAATATCTTGCTAATCATAGGTTATGGAAAGACTGTGTTTCCATTTGAAGGCTCTGTTAGAAATTACTGATGCACACACTATATTGTAAATTCTTATCTCTGTATACTGTACTACTGCATACAGATGTTATGTTAAAGAATTACTTCATCCCCATGTGACCATCTCACCTCATAATCAAATGACCCTAAATCTCTCACTAACCTACCCCCGCCCTCACTAAACTTAATAATAAATGCTGGTATATCCAGTACATTGTTGGCACCGTGGGACCAAAGGCAGCGACCACCCTGGACCCAGCTTTCACTATCTTGTGCGTGTCTATTATTTCTCAACTTGCCGATCCACCTGGGAACAAAGAAAGAGCCCCACTGCATTGTGGGCTGCTGGCCAGATCCCACAATAAATCCACTTATGCATTTATTCACTCCTTCACAAAATGTCAATAGAGCATCCCAATGGGTGAGGCACTGTTGGATACAGATGTGAACAAGATGACCTCACTTTCCATACTTACCCAGCACAGATCTGATGTTATTACAATTGTAGCACAGCCACCTGGATTGCTGTAACTGCATCCTACTGGTATCCTTGCTTCTAATCTTACTCCCCTCCACTCTCCTCCACCTGTGGGTAAAAATGCAAATCAGATTCTGCCACTACCCTGATTAACACTCTTCAACGATGTTCCATTGATCATAAGATAAAGTGAAAAGATAATATGCTCATGTGGTTTCCAACGCCCTTCAAGATCTGGCCTGTCCACCTGTACAACTTAATTTTATTATATCATTCTCTTCAATCATACTGAACTGACCATTTTTCATTTCCCTAAATATATTTTATTCTTCCCTGGACTTTTTCTCCCCTTCTCTCCATGACCTTGTTGAGTACTCTAAGAAGTCTCTGATGACTCTCCCACATCTGATTTCAATGCCCTTCTCTGTGTTACCATAATATTCTGTTGTTTCTGTATTTTAATATGTTTTACCCTTCATTGAAATTGCCCTTTCCATGTCTAAATCTCCTCCCAGACAGAAAATGAGTCTAATTTTATTCCAAAATTGTGTCCAATATTATCACATTTATATCTCTGGTATCTAGCACATAATAGATGGTCTATGAATATTTGTTGAATAAATACATACAGGATTAGTTATTGCCTTTTCATTGTAGCAACTTTCAATATACAAGCACAACAAATCACGGGAGGCCCAACAAATCATGTCCCTTGCCTTTTCATGAGATTCCATTATCATCTCCCTAGAAGACAGAGATATGGGCCCAGCAAGATGGAAGTGAAGTAAAAATTTAAAAAGAGAACTCTGAAAAGTGATCCCCTTTAAAAAGTGCTATATACAATGTTCACTAATTTTATAATCTTGCCTGAGATTTGAACTTTTTTCCAAGTCAAAATGCATGAGAGAATTGTGATAAAAGTTTTTGTTCAATTACATAGCTAGTCAACAATTACTCTGCAACCCGAGAAGAAATAAGAGAGAATAGGAAATGTCACATCTGCCCCCTCAATTAACAAAAATATTCTCCCAGAGGTCTGTGGAAAATTAAGATGCAGAAAGGAGAAACGAGTGGAATGCTTTGGAAACTTATCAAAAGCAGTGAGGCATCCCCAAACTATGGGGGTGGAGGCCTCTCACTGAAGTGTGCAGCCGGGTGCATATTAAACATGGTCACAAAAGCAAAGGGGATGAAGAAAAAGGAAAGGAAAAGCATTGAAAGGCACCTGAGGGCAACATGGAAGAAACAGGATTCACAGACTGAAGCAAATACAAAGAAAAGGTCCATCTAACAATGAATAAAATCCAGCTTGCTATAAAGTAGTTATCTAATTTTCTTTTCTGTTTTTTCCCTATTATTTAAAATGGACACATCTGAAGTCCTAGCCAAAGCAATCCGACAAGAGAAAGAAATAAAGGTCATCCAAATCAGTAAACAGGAAGTCAAACTGTCTCTGTTTGCTGATGATATGATCATATACTTAGAAAACTCTAAAGACTCATCCAAAAAGCTCCTAGAACTGGCAAATAAATTCAGAAA
This sequence comes from Homo sapiens, assembly GCF_000001405.40. Lineage (NCBI taxonomy): Eukaryota > Metazoa > Chordata > Mammalia > Primates > Hominidae > Homo > Homo sapiens. Next base: position 153,243,025 of record NC_000007.14, on the reverse strand, counting down.
AGTTTTAGGATACAAAATTAATGTACACAAATCAGTAGCTCTGCTATACACCAACAGCAACCAAGCTGAGAATCAAATCAAGAAATCAACTCCTTTCACAATAGCTGAAAAAAAATAAAATACTTAGTAATATACCTAACCAAGGACATGAAAGACCTCTACAAGGAAAGCTACAAAACACTGCTGAAAGAAATCATCGACGACACAAACCAATGGAAATACACCCCATGCTCATAGATATAGAATCAATATTGTGAAAATGACCAGATTGCCAAAAGCAATCTACGAACTCAGTGCAATTCCCATCAAAATACCATCATCATTCTTCACAGAACTGAAAAAAGCAATCTTAAAATTCATATGAAACCAAAAAGGAGCCCACATAGCCAAAGCAAGACTAAGCAAAAAGAACAAATCTGGAAGCATCACATTAACTGACTTCAACATGTACTATAAGACCACAGTCAGCAAAACAGCATGGTACTGGTATAAAAATAGGCACATACACCAATGTAACAGATAGAGAACCCAGAAATTAAGCCAAATACTTACAGCCAACTGATCTTTGACAAAGCAAACAAAAACACAAAGTGGGGAAAGGACACCCTATTCAATAAATGATGCTGGAAAAATTGGCAAGCTACATGTAGAAGAATAAAACTAGATCCCCATCTCTCACCTTATACAAAAATAAACTCAAGATCGATCAAAGACTTAAATCTAAGACCTAAAACTCTAAAGATTCTAGAAGATAACATCAGAAAAACTCTTCTAGACATTGGCTTAGGCAAAGACTTCATGACCAAGAACCCAAAAGCAAATGCAACAAAAACAAAGATAAATAGACGGGACTTAATTAACTAAAAAGCTTCTGCACAGCAAAAGAAATAATCAGCAGAGTTAAGAGACAACCCACAGAGTGGGAGAGAATCTTCACAATCTATATATCCAACAAAGAACTAATATCCAGAATCTGAAAAGAACTCAAACAAATCAGCAAGAATAAAACCAACAATCCCACCAAAAAGTGTACTAAGGACATGAATAGACAGTTCTCAAAAGAAAATATACAAATGGCCAACAAATATATGAAAAAATGCTCAACATCACTAATTATTCAGGGAAATGTAAATCAAAACGACAATGCAATACCACCTCACTCCTGCAAGAATGGCCATAATCAAAAAATCAAAAAATCAAAAAATAATAGATGTTGGCATGGATGTGGTGAAAAAAGAACACTTTTACACTGTTGGTGGGAACATAAACTAGTACAACCACGATGAAAAACAGTGTGAAGATTCCTTAAAGAACTTAAAGTAGATCTACTGTTGATCCAGCAATCCCACTACTAGGTTCCAACCCAGAGGAAAAGAAGTCATTATATGAAAAAGATACTTGCACATGCATGTTTCTAGCAGCACAATTTGCAATTGCAAAAATATGCAACCAGCCCAAATGCCCATCAATCAACGAGTGGATAAATAAAATGTTTTTTATATATATATATATATATATATATATATATATATATATATATATATATACACACACACACACACACACACACACACACACACACACACACACATACACACACACCATGGAATACTACTCAGCCATAAAAAGGAATGAAATAATGGCATTTGCAGCAACCTGGATGGAAGTGGAGACTATTATTCTAAGTGAAGTAACTCAGGACTGGAAAACCAAACATCATATGTTTTCACTCTGATATGGTTTGGCTGTGTCCCCACCAAAATCTCATCTTGAATTGCAGCTCCCATAATTTCCATGTGTTGTGGGAGGGACCTGGTTGGAGATAATTGAATTATGGAGGCTGTTTCCCCCATAATGTTCTCATGGTAGTGAATAAGTCTCACAAGATCTGACAGTTTTATAAGGGGAAACCCCTTTCACTTGGTTCTCATTCTCTCTTGCCTGCCACCATGTAAGACATGCCTCTCGCCTTCTTCCATGATTGTGAGGCCTCCCCAGCCATGTGGAACTGTGAGTCAATTAAACTCTTTCCTTTATAAACTACCCAGTCATGGGTATGTCTTTATCAGCAGTGTGAGAACAAACTAATACACACTCATAAGTGGGAGCTAAACTGTAAGGACACAAAGGCATAAAAATGGTACATTGGACTTTGGGGACTCGGGAGAAAGGGTGGGGGAGGTGGCAAGGGATAAAAGACTACACATTGGGTACAGTGTACACTGTTCAGGTGATGGGTGCACCAAAAACTCAGAGATCACCACTAAAGAACTTATTCATGTAATCAAACACCACCTGTTCCCCAAAAACCTATTGAAATAAAAAAAAACTTTAAAAAGGTAGTATTATTTAATATTTTAATCAGGACAAAAATCCTTGCTATTGTTAACTAAAATAAAAAAAATAAGTATGTCTTAGCTAATCTTTATTAAATAAATAAATAAGTAAAATTGACCCATCTGATAGAAACTTGATATTGGTGACCAGAGTCTAGTGAATCAGCTGGGTTGAGCAACAGTCAGGGTGTGGGAGAGGATAGTCAGGAAATCTGATTTCTAGTCTTGGCTTGCTACTCATCACAGTTTTTCCCAGGAAAGTTCCTGTACCTCAGTTTTCTGGTCTGTAAAATGAGAGAATATTGCCTGGATACCTCACGAATTGATCATTTCAAGGGAAGCTTGGAAAATAAGGCAATATACAAACCTAAGAAATATGTTTTTGAGGCCAGATGCTCTATGACATGGGTTGATAAACTACACCATTGGGCCCAGCCCAGCCTGCCACCGGCTTGTGTAGGTAAAGTCTTATTGAAGGACAACCATGCCCATTTGTTTACTATTTATCCATGGCTGCTTTTGCACAACAGCAGAGCTGAGTCATCAGAGACCATATGGCCCACAAAGCCTAAAATATTTACTATCTAGCTCTGTATTTAAAAAAAAAAAACTTGCCAACACCGGTCTATCATGTAACTTTGAACTTCATAAATGAATGTATAAAGGTGATTTTAATGAATTATTTTATTCTATGTCTACTGCGTATATCTTTCTCTTCCTTCTAAATCTCCTTCCTGATTATAAAGTGACATGGTAGAAAGTCACCTCTTGATTTTGAGGCTTTTTAATTTGACTATAGTTCCCTTAAGAGACTACACAATGTTCATTGTATTTTGGGGATGCCCTCCTCAGAATTTACCTATGGAATGCGTTCATTGCAATGACAATTCTTCCTTTAGTTAGGATGGATTTGAATACTGGAAACACCTACACAGGTGGATGCAAATGTGAAGAAGAAACAATTTCAAGTGTTATTTTGCCATCTTTGAGGCTTCCAGGCCCCAAAGGAGCCCTATGAGTTCCCCTGCTCCCTGCCTTGCTTGTTCCCGTTGGCTGGACCAGTGTCCCCCATCAGTCTCCAATCTCACGTGTCTCCATCCCCTGCTACTCCATGAAACAAACAAGCCAATAACATCCTCCCACAGGCACCAGGGGCCACCACACCCCCTTGTTTCTACAAAGCCTGCCTCCATGCCCCTCTGGTCCACTCTGTTCTTGAGTGCATCCCTCGTGTGGCCCTGCGTGGTGTGTGGCGTCATCTTCCCCAGGCAGGCTGTGGGTATATGTAACTAATAAACTGCTGTTGATCACATCTGTCCAGCACAAGGTGTCATGTGTTCAGCTACCTTGTGCGATTGAAGGGGTTGGGTATTCTTCCTCCACCAACATGGTGAATAATGATGATAGAACAGGGTGCACCTGGGAGCCACCAGCCACCAGGCTATGGGTAAATCATCTCTAAAGAAAGGATCTTGGCAAAGCACCACAGTCTTCATTAAAGTTAATCCCTTCCACTTCACAGATCAACTTGCTTTTTACATTAAGTTTGTCTCATTTGAGTATAGCACTGGGATCACTGAGCACCAAAGAGATTCTTCCCTATGTCCACTGTGTGGCAGCAGGCCTACCTCCCACTGGTAATGAGTCAATTTTCCCTGCAGGTTGTGACTTTTCTCTTCTGGATGGTTTATTGGCACCAAGTGATCAAGCAGCAGCCATAGCTGAAAGTTCAATGAGACTCTTACCATGTCCACTGGTGGAAGTAATTTCCTTCTGGAAGCCAGGACCTCTTAACAGGTACAGCATGAAACTGCAGGGACCAGAGCAGAAATTTCAAGTGAGTCGAAGAGAGCCATGGAGAACGTGGTGTCATCTCTATTTTCCATTCCTTACACCAAATGAAGACACAGCTGTGTCATATAATAGTCATTGATTTAGGCTGTCTATGCTGCCCTGGAAAACAGCACCTGTGGTAAATTTAAAATGGCTACAGATTTTTTTGCTACTGGTCCCACTGAGATGTCATTGAGAGGGAAAGTCTATTTCCCCTCCTCCTGAATCTGGGCCAGGTCTGTGACTTCTGTGGTTAGTAGTGTGCTACCGAAGTGATACCACATGACTTTCAAGGCTGGGTCATAAGAAACCTTGCAGCTAGGCCTGGAATGTTTGCACTTGGGATCATCCCTCTTGGAATAAGCCATGAGGCTATGAGAAGCCCAAGCCACACGGAGAAGCCACAGTGAGGGCTCCAGTTGATCACCCTGTTGGACTCCCAGCCAATAAGCAGCATCAACTTTAAGCTAATGTGGCTAGAGGGATGAGTTGGGGGAGAGGTGCCAACACAATAATAGAAGATATGTGGTCTGGGCCACCTGCTCATGTAGCTTACTTGTACCTGCTGGATTTGTTCTTGCCTAAACCTACATGCACCATTTCTGTTTTATGATGAATTTCTTCTGGGCTCACTTGCCTATGTCTTTGTGGGTGTGACCCGATGCAGCTCATGACGGGGCACTGGTCACTTGGTCACTTGATGCTCCATGGTCAAACACTGTGCCTCTAGCAGAACCCAGGACAGGGCATGACAGGAGCTACTTTTGGAATGCTTTATAGTTATCTCCTGTGGTTGGTAATGTCCTTGCTCCCAGTAGATCCTAAAGAGATACATTCTGATTATCCAGTTGAAGCTTGCCAAATGTTCCACACAGCATCTTTTCCCACCTTTTTGATACCTACAGGGTCATACATCTGTCAGGTCAAATGACAAAAATGGAAGGACCAGCTGTGCTGCAGCCTGGAAACGATGTAGATGCCAGCCTGGGCTCAGGTTCCACTTAAAAATGCATACCCTCCATGTCTCCTCTAAATGGGTACAATCAGTATTCCCAAGTGCCAAAGATGTTGACTCCATAATCCTGGGTGCCTGCCAAATTCTTCTCATCTTTCTTGACTGTGGGCAATACTAGATTCAACAATTCATCCTTTATTTAGAGGGGATGTCCCAGCAAGTCCCAGACTTCCAGACACCTACAAATTTTGTGACTGTGACAGATCCCTGAACCTTCATAACATTTATTTTTCCATCCTGTGAAGAATGTGAACATATGCCTTATCAAGTTCTCTAACATATTTGCCATTTCTTGTTCATCCAGCATGATTAACATGGTGCCATAGATAGAGTGTACCCATGTAGTATCATAGACAATTCCTAGATGGTCCAGGGATCTTCAGACTATAAAATGACAGATGGTGGGAGAGGTAACATAACCGCAGAGAAAGACTCTAAACATTTACTGTTGTGCTTTTCACATAAACATAAGCTGTTTTTGATCCACCTACCTGATAAAGATGTTAAAAATGTCTTCGCCATCTCCTCAGATGCATACCTAAGAGAGGAAACTGTGTTAATCATGGCTTAGTATGTGCAATTATCTGGTCCTTTTGATCCTTTCTTCTACCATCTGTCATGACAACTCTGGCATTTCTGCTTCACTTACTCTGGGCCATTGATTTTCTCAAGAATTTCAAGAGCCATCCTGGCAACATATCAGCCCCATTCCCATGGTCCTTGCCAGTTGTTATATCTTCTATTGTAAGGTATTGCTTCCACGTCCATAACCTCTCCTTCACCCAATTCTATGTTCTGCCCCTCCTTGATCCAGCACCCTTGGGACAACTCCCATGCCTGCTAGCAGACCCTGGAGGACTTCGGATTATGAGCCTCCTCCTCACTTGGCAGCTCAGCATGACCCTCTTTGGGCTCTGCTGGGATTTGACACTTGTTATTAGATTGCTGCCAGAAACACCCTGAAGGGGAAGGCATTGTCTTTTAAGAAACTTGACTCTTTTGAAACCTCTGCATAATCTTCAAGCAAGGAGCCATCTTTTAGCAAGATGGAATAGGCCACTTCTTTAGGACGAGCAATACGAGAGATGCTGGATGCTGAAGTTTCTCAAGAGCATCTACTCACCCACCCTAATCTCAGACCTCAGGTTTTCACTCTGTTATTGGGCTTAATTTTGTCTCCCACAAAATATGCTGAAGTCCCAATCTCCAAGACCTGGGAAAGTGACCTTATTTGGAAATAAAGTCTTTACTGAGGTAATCAAGTTAAAATAAGATCATTATGGTGAACCGTAATCCAATATAACTGTTGTTCTTATACAAAGGGGAAATCTGGACACAGAAACAGACATGACACAGGGAGAACGCCATATGAAGATAAAGGCAGAGATTGGGATGATGCATCTAGATGCCAAAAAACACCAGTGATAGAAAACCACTAGAAGATAGGGAAGAGGCACAAAACAGATTCTCCCTCACAGTCCCCAGAAGGAACCCCCCCGCCAACATTTCTGTCTGAGACCTCCAGCCTGCAGAACCATAAGACAACCTTTTCCTGTGGTTGAGCCACTCAGTTCTGCTTTGTTACCAGAACCCAAGGACACTAATGCAAACTCCTTCCCTTCTGGAGTTCCCAGGCTGACAGGAACTGCACTTCTATTTAGGTCTCTCTCTTGCCCATTTGGATCGTCTATTCTAGGGGAAGTTGTGTCATGAGCAGCCCCATGGAAAGGCCCACATGGTGAGGCAATGAAGCCTCCTGCCAAGTCACATAAGTGAGCTTGGGCACAGGACCTCCATCCCCCATTGCGATGGTCATAGCCCTGGCCAACAGCTTGACTGCAACCTCGAGAGAGACCTTGAGCCAGATCCACCCAGCTAAGTCAAGCCTGTTCATAATTTTTTTTTTTGAGACAGAGTTTTGCTCTTGTTGCCCAGGCTGGCATGCAATGGCACAATCTCAGCTCACTGCAACCTCCACCTCCTGAGTTCAAGCAATTCTTCTGCCTCAGCCTCCCAAGTAGCTGGGATTACAGGTGCCCACCACCACGCCTGACTAATTTTTTGTATTTTTAGTAGAGACAGGGTTTCACCATGTTGGTCAGGCTGGTCTTCAACTCCTGACCTCAGGTGATCCATCCGCCTGGGCCTCCCAAAGTGCTGGGATTATAGGCATGAGCCATCGTGCCCAGCAAGCCTGTTCATAATTTTAAGCTGCTAAGATTTGGGCTACACTGTAGTGCCACAACAGTTAATACAGATGGCCTTCAGGATTTCAGAGACTGAGACATTTTCATCTGTATTCCTCATTAACAAGCTCATTTGGAGGGTAGTACAAGGTTAGGACATTTTTACTGGGAACAGAGCAGTTTGCTGTGTGAAAAATTAATGTGTTTACGATAGCTGAATAGGAACAGCTCCAGTCTGCAGCTCCCAGCAAGACTGATGCAGAAAGCAGGTGATTTATGCATTTCCAACTGAGGTACACGGCTCATCTCATTGGGACTGGTTAGACAGTAGGAGCAGCCCACAGAGGGTGAGCTGAAGCAGGGTGGGGCATCGCCTCACCTGGGAAGTGCAAGGAGTCGGGAACTCCCTCCCCTAGCCAAGGGAAGCCCTGAGGGACTGTGCCATGAGGAACAGTGCTATCAGGTGCAGATGCTATGGTTTTCCTATGGTATTCACAACCCGCAGACCAGGAGATTCCCTCTGGTGGCTACACCATCAGGGCCCTGGGTTTCAAGCACAAAACTGGGCAGCCATTTAGGCAGACACCAAGCTAGCTGCAGGAGTTTTTTTTCATACCCCAGTGGTACCTGGAATGCCAGTGAGACAGAACTGTTCACTCCTCTGGATAAAGGGCTGAAGCCAGGGACCCAAGTGGTCTAGCTCAGCAGATCCCATCCCCACAGAGCCCAGCAAACTAAGATCCACTGGCAGTCTGAAGATCCAGTCTGAAGATCCAGCACTCTGAATTTGACCAGAGACACTCGAGCTTGGTGGGTGGAGGGGCGTCCACCATTACTGAGGCTTGAGTAGGCATTTTCCCCCTCACAGTGTAAACAAAGCCGCAGGGAAGTTCAAACTGGGCGGAGCCCACCACAGCTCAGCAAAGCCACTGTAGCCAGACTGCCTCTCTATATTTCTTCTCTCTGGTCAGGGCATCTCTGAAAGAAAGGCAGCAGCCCAGTCAGGGGCTTATAGATAAAAGTCCCATCTCCCTGGGACAGTGCACCTAGGGGAAGGGGCAGCTGTGGGTGCAGCCTCAGCAGACATAAATGTTTGTGCCTGCCGGCTCTGAAGAGAGCAGCAGCTCTCCCAGCACAGCACTCGAGCTCTGCTAAGGGACAGACTGCCTCCTCAAGTGGGTCCCTGACCCCCATGACTCCTGACTGGAAGACACCTCCCAGCAGGGGTCGACAGACACCTCATACAGGAGAGCTCCAGCTGGCAACTAGCAGGTGCCCCTCTGGGATGAAGCTACCAGAGGAAGGAACAGGCAGCAATCTTTGCTGTTCTGCAGCCTCCGCTGGTGATACCCAGGAAAACCAGATCTGGAGTGGACCTCCAGCAAACTCCAGCAGACCTGCAGCAGAGGAGCCTGACTTTTAGAAGGAAAACTAACAGAAAGGAATAGCATCAACATCAACAAAAAGAATGTCCACACAAAAACCCCACCCAAAGGTCACCAGCATCAAAGACCAAAAATAGATAAATCCACAAGATAGGGAAAAAACAGCGCAAAAAGGCTGAAAATTCCCCAAACCAGAATACTTCTTCTCCTCTAAAAGATCACAACTCCTTGCCAGCAAGGGAACAAAACTGGATGGAGAATGAGTTTGACGAATTGACAGAAGTAGGCTTCAGAAGGTAGGTAATAACAAACTCCTCCAAGCTAAAGGATCACGTTCTAACCCAATACAAGGAAGCTAAGAACCTTGATAAAAGGTTACAGGAACTGCTAACTAGAATAACCAGTTTAGAGAAGGACATAAATGACCTCATGGAGCTGAAAAATACAGCACAAGGACTTCATGAAGCACACACAAGTATCAATAGCCAAATTCATCAAGTGGAGGAAAGGATATCAGAGACTGAAGATCAACTTAATGAAATAAAGTGTGAAGACAAGATTAGAGAAAAAAGAATGAAAAAGCCTCCAAGAAATACGGGACTGTGTGAAAAGTCCAAACCTACATTTGATTAGTGGACCTGAAAGTGACAGGGAGATTGGAACCAAGTTGGAAAACACTCATCAGGATATTATCCTGGAGAAATTCCCCAACCTAGCAAGACAGGCCAACATTCAAATTCAGGAAGTACAGAGAACACCACAAAGATACTCCACAAGGAGAGCAACCCCAAGACACATAATCATCAGATTCGCCAAGGGTGAAATGAAGGAAAAAAATGTTAAGAGCAGCCAGAGAGAAACATCAGGTTACCCACAAAGGGAAGCCTATCAGACTAACAGTGGATCTCTCTGCAGAAACTGCACAAGCCAGAAGAGAATGAGGGCCAATATTCAACATTCTTAAAGAAAAGAATTTTCAACCCAGAATTTCATATCCAGCCAAACTAAGCCTTAGAAGTGAAGGAGAAATAAAATCCTTTACAGACAAGCAAATGCTGAGAGATTTTGTCACCACCAGGCCTGCCTTACAAGAGCTCCTGAAGGAAGCATTAAACATGGAAAGGAAAAACCAGTACCCGCCACTAAAGATACCAAATTGCAAAGACCATCGACACTATGAAGAAACTGCATCAACTAATGGGCAAAATAACCAGCTAGCATCATAATGACAGGATCAAATTCACACATAACAGTACTAACCTTAAATAAAAATGGGCTAAATGCCCCAATTAAAAGACACAGACTGGCAAATTGGATAAAGAGGCAAGACCCATTGGTGTGCTGTATTCAGGAGACCAATCTCACATGCAAAGACACACATACGCTCAAAATAAAGGGATGGAGGAATATTTACCAAGCAAATGGAAAGCCAAAAAAAAAAAAAAAAAAAAAAGCAGGGGTTCTAATCCTAGTCCCTGATAAAACAGACTTTAAACCAACAAAGATCAAAAAAGACAAAGAAGGGCATTACATAATGATAAACGGATCAATGCAACAAGAAGAGCTAACTATCCTAAATATACATGCACCCAGATTCATCAAGCAAGTTCCTAGAGACCTACAAAGAGACTTAGACTCCCACACAATAATAGTGGGAGACTTTAACACCCCATGTCAATATTAGACAGATCAATGAGACAGAAAATTAACAAGGATATTCAGGATTTGAACTCAGCTCTGGACCAAGAGGACCTAACAGACATCTACAGAACTCTCCACCCAAAATCAACAGAATATACGTTATTCTCAGCACCACATCACACTTATTCTAAACTTGACCATATAATTGGAAGTAAAACACTCCTCAGCAAAGGCAAAAGAACAGAAATCATAACAAACAGTCTCTCAGACCACAGTGCAATCAAATTAGAACTCAGGATTAAGAAACTCACTCAAAACCGCACAATTACATGGAAACTAAACAATCTGCTCCTGAAAGACTATTGGGTAAATAACAAAATTAAGGTAGACATAAATAATTCCTTGAAACAAGTGAGAACAAAGACACAATGTACCAGAACCTCTGGGAAACAGCTAAAGTAGTGTTTACAGAGAAATTTATAGCACTAAATACCCACAGGAGAAAGCAGGAAAGATAAAATTGACACCCTAACATCACAATTAAAAGAACTAGAGAAGCAAGAACAAACAAATTCAAAAGCCAGCAGAAAACAAGAAATAACTAAGATCAGAGCAGAACTGAAGGAGATAGAGACACAAAAAAAACCCTCAAAAAATCAATGAATCCAAGAGCTGCTTTTTTGAAAAGATTAACAAAATAGATAGACTGCTAGCCAGACTAATAAAGAAGAAAAGAGGGAAGAATCAAATGGACACAATAAAAATGATAAAGGGGATTTCACCACTGATCCCACAGAAATGCAAACTATCATCAGAAAATACTATAAACACCTCTATGCAAATAAACTAGAAAATCTAGAAGAAATGAATAAATTCCTGGACACACACACCCTCCCAAGTCTAAACCAAGAAGAAATTGAATCCCTGAATAGGCCAATAACAAGTTCTGAAATTGAGGCAGTAATTAACAACCTGCCAACCAAAAAAAAAAAGCCCAGGACCAGACGGATTCACAGCTGAATTCTACCAAAGGTAGAAAGAGGAGCTAGTACCATTCCTTCTGAAACTATTCCAAAAAATAGAAAAAGAGGGCCTCCTTCCTAATGCATTTTATGAGGCCAACATCATCCTGATACCAAAACCTGTCAGAGATACAACAAAAAAAGAAAATTTTGGGCCAATATCCCTGATGAACATCAATGCAAAAATCCTCAATAAAATACTGGCAAAGTGAATCCGGCAGCACATCAAAAAGCTTACCCACCACTATCAAATCGGTTTCATCCCTGGCATGCAAGGATGGTTCAACATACACAAATCAATAAACATAATCCATCATATAAACAGAACCAATGACAAAAACCACATGATTATCTCAACAGATGCAGAAAAGGCCTTTGATACAATTCAACATCTCTTCATGCTAAAAACTCTCAATAAACTAGGTATTGATGGAACCTATCTCAAAATAATAAGAGCTATTTATGACAAACCCACAGCCAATATCATACTGAATGGGCAAAAGCTGGAAGTATTCCCTTTGAAAACTGGCACAAGACAAGGATGCCCTCTCTCACCATTCCTATCCAACATAGTATGGGAAGTTCGGTCCAGGGCAATTAAGCAAGAGAAAGAAATAAAGGGTATTCGAATAGGAAGAGAGGAAGTCCAACTGTCTCTGTTTGCAGATGACATGATTGTGTATTTAGAAAATCCCATCATCTCAGCCCCAAATCTCCTTAAGCTGATAGGTAACTTCAGCAAAGTCTCAGGATACAAAATCAATGTGTGAAAATCACTAGCATTCCTAGACCAATAATAGACAAACAAAGAGCCAAATCATGAGTGAACTCCCATTCACAATTGCTACAAAGAGAATAAAATACCTAGGAATACAATTTACAAGCAATGTGAGGGACCTCTTCAAGGAGAACTACAAACCACTGCTCAAGGAAATAAGAGAAGACACAAACAAATAGAAAAACAATCCATGCTCATGGATAGGATAAATTGATATCGTGAAAATGGCCATACTGCCCAAAGTAATTTACTGACTCAATGCTATCCCCATCAAGCTACCATTGACTTTATTCACAGAATTAGGAAAAAACTACTTTAAATTTTATATGGAACCAAAAAAGAGCCTGTATAGCCAAGACAATCCTAAGCAAAAAGAATAAAGCTGGAGGCATCACGCTACCTGACTTCAAACTATACTACAAGTCTACAGTAACCAAAACAGCATGGTACTGGTACCAAAACAGATATACAGACCAATGGAACAGAACACAGGCCTCAGAAATAACGCCACACATCTACAACCACCTGATCTTTGATAAACCTGACAAAAATAAGCAATAGGGAAAGGATTCCCTATTTAATAAATGGTGTTGGGAAAACTGGCTAGCCATATACAGAAAACTGTAACTGGACCCCTTCCTTACACCTTATACAAAAATTAACTCAAGATGGATTAAAGACTTAAATGTAAGACCTAAAGCCATAAAAACCCTAGAAGAAAACCTAGGCAATACCATTCAGGACATAGGCATGGGCAAAGACTTTGTGACTAAAACACCAAAAGCAAGGACAACAAAAGCCAAAATTGACAAATGGGATCTAATTAAACTAAAGAGCTTCTGCACAGCAAAAGAAACTATCACCAGAGAGTACAGGCAACCTAAAGAATGGAAGAAAATTTTTGCAATCTATCCATCTGATGAAGGGCTAATATCTAGAATCTACAAGGAACTTAAATTTACAAGAAAAAAACAACCCCATCAAAAAGTGGGCAAAGGATATGAACAGACACTTCTCAAAAGAAGACATTTATGTGGCCAAGAAACATATTAACAAAAGCTCATCATCCCTGGTCATCAGAGAAATGCAAATCAAAACCACAATAAGATATCATCTCACACCAGTTAGAATGGGGATCATTAAAAAATCAGGAAACAACAGATGCTGGAGAGGATGTGGAGAAATAGGAACACTTTTACACTGTTGGTGGGAGTATAAATTAGTTCAACCATTGTGGAAGACAGTGTGGTGATTCCTCAAGGATCTAGAACCAGAAATACCATTTGACCCAGCAATCCCATTACTGGGTATATTCCCAAAGGATTATAAATCATTCTACTGTAAAGACACATGCACATGTATGTTTATTGTGGCACTATTCACAATAACAAAGACTTGGAACCAACCTAAATGCCTATCAATGATAGGCTGGATAAAGAAAATGTGGCACATATACACCATGGAATACTCTGTAGCCATAAAAAAGGATGAGTTCATTTCCTTTGCAGAGACATGGATGAAGCTGGAAACCATCATTCTCAGCAAACTAACACAGGACAGTAAACCAAACACTGCATGTTCTCACTCATGAGTGGGAGCTGAACAACGAGAATACATGGACACAGGGAGGGGAACATCCCACACTGGGGCCTGTTGGTGGAAGGGGAGGTAGGGGAGGGATATGATTAGGAGAAATGCCTAATGTAGATTACAGTTTGATGGGTGCAGCAAACTTCCATGACACATGTATACCTATATAACAAACCTACATGTTCTGCACACGCATTCCAGAACTTAAAGTACATTTTTTTAAAAAAAGAAAATTCTCAAATCAGTCATTCAGCATTTGGAAGTTACATTTTCAAAATGTATTGCTGTGAAGGGTCAAAAATAAACAAAAATTATGTGGTAAAAAAATTAATGTGCTTGAGCACTAAAGAACAAAGATTCAGTCCTTTAACACAAAGATAATCATAGATTACTGTGCTCACCAACACCCCCTTCTCAGGGCCATTGCACTCAAATCCAGCTGCTGAGAATATGGGCTGAGAGCTCACAGCTGCACTTCCCACTGGAATTACCCTCAGCCACGTGGAACAGCATCAGCCACAGTTATGACCTGTCAGGACTTATCAATTCAGGGATACAAAGGAAGAGCCCTTTGCTTCAAACTGGGAGAAATTCGAAGATACATCCGCACTCCAGGCAGAACTGGCTGGAGCCACAGTTGCAACCACACTGCAGTTCAGTTTTTCCCTCTGCCCAATCCTGCATACCCTACTTCCTTACCGTTTCAGTGGTTAGTCCCCCTTGTCATTATTTTGTACATCGTGCTTTCTTCTTTTCTCAATTAAAGGAGCTGGTGCTTTGTGATGTTTGTTAACTTTTGAAAAAAAAAAAAAGGAAAGGTTTCAATTTATGTATTTGGTACACTCTTTTCTACATTCTTATTCTCTGATTTTAACGTTAGTATTTCCTTCTGTGTGCTTTCTTTTGGTTTGCTTTGTTTCCTTTGGATCCCTAGTTTTTTGAACTGATACTTCACTCATTTATTTTCATTTCTATTGATCAGTGTTTAGTCCTATGAATTTTCTTCTAATCACTGCTTTAAATACATCACATAGATTTGATAGGTCGTTTCCACTATCATTAGTTTTTAGAAATTCTTTAATATCAATTTGCATTTCCCCTTTTACCAAGGGTTATTTAATAAAATTTTACTAGATGGAGAGGTCTTTTTTCTTTCAGGATTTTGTTAATAATCTCGAGTTTTATTGTATTGTAAAATAAAAATTTGTTTACAGTATTTTACTCCTTGGAACTCTATTTGTTAATATACAGTTAATTTTTGTAAATATTCCATGTAAACTTGAGAATAAGGCATATTCTCTGTTATGAGAATATCTAGTTTGGTATGTATCCACAGATTATCTTTATAATATTACTTAGGTCTTCCATATCCTCACTGATTTTTTTCAACATGATCTGTCCTGTACTGAAACTGATGTGTTGATATCTCCTTTGTGTTTCTGTTACATCTCCTGTAATTTTTATTTCATAAACATGGTTACAGTGTGAAGTGGTATAGACAAGTTTATTACCACTGTATCTCCATTAAAAATTATGTTTAGCATTTTAAAACATCCTTATTTGTCACATTTAATACTTTTAGACTTCAATTGTAATATTTGGATTAGCAATCTCTTCTCACATTGTTTTCACTCGCCTGGTATACTTCTTCATCTCTTTATATTTAACCTTTCTGAAGTATTTCATTGCAGGTGTATCTCTTGTTAGATAAGTCTTCCATTGCATAACAAATTAAAATCTTTGTATTTTAACAGTGCATTCATAATTGTCAATATGACTACTACTCCAAATAGTAACTTGGTCATAATATTTTAAGTATTATGTTATTTTTGCTTTGTTCTTTTCTCTGCATGGCATTTGTGTTTTGCTCTTTATTTTTAAAACCTTTACTCTTTTGTACTTAGGAATTTTGTATTTTTGTCGTAGTGTTTGTCTTTGTACCTATGTTTTTTTTTTCAGTAGCACCAGCTGTTTTCTTATTTAACTTTTTCCTATCTGATATATCAATATTTAGTGATATACTACAACCCCCACCTACTTTCTAAAAGACAACGGGTGGTTCATTTTTCCTTTCCCTCTATCTTTTCCTCTCTTTGTTAAAGTCATATTATTTCCGTTTTTCATAACACGTAACATTTGTATGCTAGTCTTTCTTCCCTGCCTCTGCCTTTGTTTTAGCCTTGTATGTACAATTATATTGTTATGCAGACGACTGGTCGTTTTGCTGAAATTTTTATAATCATCTCTTATTCCAATGAAGCTCACCCCCCGTTAGACACACAATTCCCTGTGTTGCTGTATGTCTAAAATGGCTTTCTGTAATCTTGGCACTTAGACAGTTTGACTGGAAATAAAGATCCTTTCCCACATTTCCTTTCACATGGATTTTTTTTATTCTGTTCCACTGTTGCTTTGCCTTTCTTTTTATGTTGTTTCTAAGAATTCTAATTACAGCTTATTTTTCTCTCATATGTTACTTAATGTTTTTACCTGAAAGTATTGGGATTAGACTTGTGCTCTAAATTTAAAACTTAGTTAAAAAGAAGACATTTATATAGCAGTGAATTTTAAAAGACAATAAATAACTAAATTCTAAAACTGGTCTAATAAAAAAAGTGCTTGTTTTATCTTGGAAGTCTAATGATTTTACTAGAGTATGTCTTGAAGTTCGTCAGTCATTCCTGCTTTATTTTCCCGGGTATTCTGTGATCTCCTTCATTATGTAAATTTGTGTTATTTTATTACTGGAAAGTTTTCTGGATTAGATTTAAATATTAATTCTGTTCTATTGTTTGGTTTTCTACATCAATAACTTCAATTTTATGTATGTTGTTTCTTATTTATCCTCTAGTCAACCAGTCTCTACTGGGCCTTTTTACATCTTCCTTTACCTTATATTCATTTGCAGATTATTTTCTTGCGTTCCGTCAATTCACTTTATTATCTTCCATTTCGGTCTTCTTCACTCTGAGATGATTTTGTCTTCTTTTTATCATTTCTTTGCTAAGTTCAATCAACTCTGTTCATTTTTTTCTGCTTTTTCTATTTTTGCTTTCAGTTTTCAGATTTCTAATTCAAAGTGGCTCTTCAGATTTGAGATTTTAGTATATTTAACTCATTTTGAATCATTTCTTACATGTTTATTTTTCTTCATGGTTGTTTCTGGTGAGAAGTTTCATCCAGCTGAAATGTGTTAATTCTCACTTTTTGTGTCTTTGTGGTAACTTTGCATAGACTTATTCCATTTCACCCTGTGTCCAGAATTGGTTCCTTCTGGTGGGTTCTTGGTCTCGCTGACTTCAAGAACGAAGCCGTGGACCCTCGTGGTGAGCTGTTACAGTTCTTAAAGATGGTGTGCCCGGAGTTTGTTCCTTCAGACGTTCAGATGTGTCCCGAGTTTCTTCCTTCCAGTGGGTTCGTGGTTTCATTTACTTCAGGAGTGAAGCCGCAGACCTTTGCAGTGAGTGTTACAGCCCTTAAAGGCAGTGCATCTGGAGTTGTTTGTTCCTCCCCGTGGGTTGGTGGGTTCGTGGTCTCACTGACTTCAGGAATGAAGCCACAGACCCTCTGGTGAGTGTTACAGCTCATAAAGAGTGAGCATCAGCAAGATTTATTGTGAAGAGTGAAAGAAGAAAGCTTCCACAGGATGGAAAAGGACCCAATTGGGTTGTTCCTGCAGGCTCCGGTGGCCAGCTTTTATAACCTTATTTGGCCCCACCCACATCCTGCTGATTGGTGCATTTTACAGAGCACTGATTCTTCCACTTTACAGAGTGCTGATTGGTCCATTTTACAGAGTGCTGATTGGTGCATTTACAATCCTTTAGTTAGATGCAGAGTGCTGATTGGTGCGTTTACAATCCTCTAGCTAGACAGAAAAGTTCTCCAAGTCCACACTCGACCAAGAAGCCCTGCTAGCTTCACCTCTCAATACTATTCGTTTTGCATATGAGTGGTGGTTTACAAGATTTCTAGTTTAATGGCTTGTCATCCTCCTCTGTCTGTATAGCAACAGTCTACATTTTTTCAGGGATGAGATTTCTGTTGATGCAGGAAGTGGTTATGTACCCTCTGACTTTCATGTTACCCTTTGCCTTGTAAGACTGTAACTTTTCCTTCCACTTCTTTTATTTTTTACCACCCAGTCACTGCAGTGCCTCCCTCTTAGTTTTTCATCTTTTTCTCTCAGAAGCTGTACCTTTTGAAGACTGCCACTTCAAAGCACATGTATTATAAGTCTCTTCCCTGTAATCAGCACTGTGATGCAGTAATGCACTTTTTTTCCGTATTTTCACAGTTAGGATAACTTTATCATCCTAGTGGTGGTTTCAGAAAGATTTTAGATCTGCTGCTCACTCCCTTCTTCTCTCTTCTATGCAAGATTTTTAAAAAATGTTTATTAGACTGCCTTTGCCTGCAAGAAAGGCTTGCAGCAGAGCCTGAGTTTTATGTGGTTCTCAAGGTTCTTCCCTTGTGCAGTCTTCTGCATTGTGGTGTGGTAGATTTAGGCAGCTATCATTGTCCTCAAGTACCTAGAAGAAAACAAGTACTTTTTTTAGAGATCTGTATAGTCTTAACTTATGCTCTAAATTTACAACTTAATTAAAAAGAAGCCATTTATACAGCAGTGAATGTTAAAATAGATGATAAATAACTAAATTCTAAAACTGGTCTAATAAAAAACTTTACAGGAATTTGGATATGAGAATGAATTTTGAGAGACAGGCTATGGCATAGTGTTTAAGAAGGCAGGCTCTGGAGTCGGTCAGCAGTGAGTTTGAATCATAGCCCTGCTACTCACCAGCTGTGCTGTCTCAGTAAGGATTTTTATGCTCATTTTACAGATCAGGAAGCTGAGGTCTAGAGAGTTAATCACATACCCACTCTCACTGAATACTAATAGCTATGTGAAATAATGCATAAAAAGGGCTTTCATTAGAGTTTATGATGCGTAGCAAATGTTCACAAAGTATTAGCCATTATTATTAACAAAATAATGAAAGAAATTAGGAAGGGCTTCATAGAGTATCAGGGCTTAATGTGTACATTAAAACCTAGGTGATAATGCTGAAAGGGGTTCCTAGGAGAGTTACAGCATGAGTAAAGATGTAGGAGTGATCTGTGGGCCTGCTACATGTGCAAAAGATGGTGACAGGGGGAGCTGCAGGAAAATGAGACAATCCTTTCCCCCATCTGATGATTTATTAGTGATTATTTATTTTGGAAAAGCAGTGGTGGAGAAGATTGGATTGATTTGTGTGCCTGACTGTGGATGGAATTGAATGAGTTGGAGGACTTAGGATTTACCTAATCCAGAGCTACTGGAGAAACTGGACCAGATAAAATCAACAATATGCTCTAATAAAAATGTGTTCTGAGTCTATATACATCTGGAATGATAATATTCAGTAAAGCTAACATAATTTCCCTACGTAAAAACACTCTGAGCGCCAGTAAGCTGGTTTGCATAATGAATCTTCAAACTGCAGATATCATATTCAGCAATATTCCTGAAACTTGAGTATCGTCTGTGACCCTTTTAATGTAAAAATAAAATAAAACACTGAGGTGCCAGTTTGACTAGGGCAGAAATAGAACTCAGAACAGGGCCAGACACGGTGACTCACGCCTGCAATCCCAGCACTTTGGGAGGCCGAGGCGGGCGGATCATCTGAGGTCAGGAGTTTGAGACCAGCCTGGCCAATATGGTGAAACCCCATCCTCTACTAAAAACACAAAAATTAGCTGGACATGGTGGCAGGCATCTGTAATCCTGGCTACTCGGGAGGCTGAGGCAGGAGAATGACTTGAACCCGGAGGCAGATGTTGCAGTAGGCAGAGATCATGCCACTGCACTCCAGCCTGGGTGACAGAGTAAGAGACTCTGTCTCAAAAATAATAATAATAATAATAATAATTAAAAATAAAAAATAAGAACTCAGATCAGTCTGAAATTGGCCTACTAAGGGATGCTATTTGGAAACTGACCATTGCCACTTCATCCAGAAGCAACATAAGACCTAGAGGACATTAAACTCTCATTATAAAGGCTGAATTTTTTACCTGATGCAATCCTCTTTCCACATGAGGGGCATTGTTTATTGCCCTCTAAGTGGTGAGGTCTGAAGATATAAGAAGCCATTAATTCATAACCTTTCCCCAGTTATCTTCACACATTTCTGTAACCTTTTCATTCAAGTCATCTTGCATCCTAAGATTGTCTATGGGCACCTTCCTATCAATCACATCAACCTCTGCTTGGGTTTAAATGTGGTCCCTGAAGGTTCGTGTGTTGGAAACTTGGTTGCCGTTGTGGCGGTGTGGAGCGGTGAGGCTTTGGGTCTTGAGGGCCCACCCTGGTGAGTGGATTAACTCTGTTATCACAGGAGCGCTGCTTCCACCACATGCTGTGTCTTGGCCTCCATGCCAGGAAGCAGGGCAGGCTCCTCTGTTCTTGGAACCCTGCAGTGGAATAAACATCAACTCTTTTTTTAAAAAAATTTTAGTTTTTAAATTTCGTGGGTACATAGTACGTGTATGTATTTATGGAGTATATGAGATACTTGTTATGGGCACACAGTGCATAATAATCACATCATGGAGAATGGGAATATCCATCCCCTCAAGCATTTATCCTGTGTGTTACAAACTATCCAATTACACTCTTTTATTTTTTCATGTGTAAGTAAATTATTTTGACTATAGTAACCCTGTTTTGCTATCAAATACTAGTTTTATTCATTCTTTCTAACTTTTTTTGTACTCATTTAACCATCTCCACCTCCCCAACATCCACTATACCCTTCCCAGCCTCTGTTAACCATTATTTTTCCCTCTATCTCCATGAATTCAATTGTTCTGGTTTTTACACCCCACAAATAAGTGAGAACATGCAATGTTTTCCTGTGCGTGGCTTATTTCACTTAACATAATGACCTCCAGTTCCATCCATGTCGTTCCAAATGACAGGCTCTCATTCTTTTTATGGCTGAATAGTACTCCATTGTGTGCATGTACCACGTTTTTTTTACCCATTCATCTGCTGATGGACACTTAAGTTACTTCCAAATCTCAGCTATTGTGAACAGTGCTACAATAAACATGGGAGTGGAGATATCTCTTCAATGTAGTAATTTCCCTTCTTTCCCCTGCTATTTTCCTTGTATATACCCAGCAGTGGGATTGCTGGATCCTATGGTAGCTCTATTTTTTGTTCTGGAGAAACCACCAAACTGTCCTCCATAGTGGTCATACTAATTTACATTCTCACCAACTGTATACAATAGTTCCGTTTTCTCCACATCCTCTCCAGGACTTGTTATTACCTGTCTTTTGGATAAAAGCAAATGCTGACTCTTGCAAAACCAAATGGACTCCGTTCTCTCATTCCTCTGTCTCCTGTGATGTCTGTCCCATCCTACCTCCATACTCAACCTACCAAGCCTCCAATACACCTTGGATTCTGCATTACTAGGAGTGTGGTTTCTTTGGGGATTAATCTATCATGAAACAGTCATATTGCCTCAAAGAAAAACCAAAATACTGAACATGTGAGCTTGTGTAATCTTTTAGTGGTAACTTTAGAAATGGTCCCACAACAAGGCTCAAAAGAGCTCCCCCAGCTCTTATGGAGTCTGCAGTACTCCAAGGCACAACTCTTCTGCGTCTGTGTCTCTATTGAGGGGCATGCCCATCTGGAGGGGCTCCAGCATCCTTTGCCTTGTCTCAGAGCCTGCAGAAATGACTCGTTTGTCTTCCCAAAAGCCTACAATGCATCAGCTGTGCCTTGAAGCTGCTGTGATGGTCCTTGTTTATCCTGGATGGACAGCAGAGTTTGGGTTAGAGCTAGTGGATTCACCTTCACTCTCTACGAATAGTTTCCATCTCACAAACTCAGAGTCCAACATAAGGGTCTTAAACATCATGATAAGCTTCTCATGAAATCTGTAGATAATCTAATCTTATCAGCCAATGCTAACAAGGCTGCACCTGCCCTCTTTCTCCCTCTCTCTTCTCCTGTGTTGATCACCAGGTGTCTGTCCAGGAGCTGGCCAGCACATAGAAGTACTCTTCAACTCACTGCTGTAAATCAAAAAGCATCTGAGACAGGTCTCAATCAATGCAGAAGTTTATTTTGCCAAGGTTAAAGACATGCCTGAGGGGGAACTTACTGCCTTTCTTTAAAGATGATTCTGAGAACTTCAATGACCAATGGGGCAAAGCAGGCTGGAGAGGAAAGAGGGAGGGTATGGTCACATTACTGAATCCACGTGATGCAAGAAAAAAAGGAGGAGGTAGGGGAACTTTATGCATTCATCTTCTCACACTCAGCACATCGGCACTTTACACAAGATAAGGTGAACATATAGTAGGTACTTGGAGGGAAATTTAACTTTTTGTTTGTAGCTCTTTGCTTAAGAACAAAAGGAAAGGCAGTTTCTTGCATGACTTGGCTTTCAGCTTAATTTTTTCTTTTGGCAGAGTGAATTGGAAATCCCAAGTTTTTATTTTCTTTTCACAGTGTCATCAGAGGCTACTGGCATTTCCTAATTCAACAGGAATTTTGAGAAGACAACTCACCTCTCTCCACCTATTTTGCAAGAGTATTACTGGTATTGTTTTGAAAAAGAATTGGCTTGGATTCAAAGGGCTGTACTCTATCCATGTTATAAGCAACTCACAAGTATGTTTGTTGATTCTAGACTTGGTTACCTCCTATAGTAGCTGTGATGCTCAGCCCAAAAATTCAAGAGAGATAAACAACAGCAACAACAATATTCCTTTTGTCCACCATCTTCATTACATACTGAGGTCCCCATTCCACCAGAACTCTGTTCTGATTAGGATTTTCCCATCTCCAAAGTGCCCAGGCATTTGTGGAGGAGAATCAGTCCTCAGCCACCAGCCCACACAGCTTGCTCCCGAGGTGTCCACAGGGCCCCTCCCTCCTGTAAGTGGACCACCAGCATCTTCAGAAACACTGTCAGTCCCGTCCTTCCAGAGGTTCTGTGCAACCAGCATCCTCTGGTCTCTGGCTACGGCTCCCTCTGATCTCTGGCTACGGCCCCCTCTGGTCTCTGGCTACGGCTCCCTCTGGTCTCTGGCTACGGCCCCCTCTGGTCTCTGGCTGCGGCTCCCTCTGGTCTCTGGCTGCATCTCTAGCAGAAATTCTGAGTAACAGGAGCCAAAAGTCAGTTTTGGTCTCAGTACTGGTCCCTCCCTTGCTTCTGCAAGATCTTCCTAATTTGCCCCAAATTCTCATAAGCTCTCAGCAGGGAGGATGGGTCATACACACCACTTTACCTTAAACTCTCCCACACACTTACTTTCTTGACACGAAATATTAAGCCTGCTCCTTGATCATATGGGTGAATGGATAAGGGGAAATTGTGGGAGGAAAAAGGAATGAGTCATAAATCAATATTGTAAAACATCATTTTGCTGTATGTGTAAAATACACTGATGAAAAAGGAGAGAAAGCAAAATTGTTCCCACACAGGGACAATCATCACCACTGCAGTGGAGCATCCTTTCACAGGTGAGATGAGGAAAAAATTATCAGTAAATCTTGCCTTTGAAATTCAATAGAACTGTCCCAGATGGACCCCTGACAATTACTCATCACTGGGCATGAAATTCTGAGTAACAGGAGCCAAAATTCTGTATGAAGGTGGTTTTACTGCAGAGGTAAGGAAAGATGACAAAGAATGTCCTTTACTGCTGGGTAGGAAGAAAGTGGTCCTGTTGTGGTGCCTGCTAAACCTCAGGACTCGGTGGATCTGACAATGCCCAGTTCTTGACGGGCAGCTCCAGTCACACAGCATTTGATGACCCATGGTCACAGCATGCAATGCCTACTAGGAGCAGGGAAGTGAGACAGGGAAGACAGCAAAGGCAATAACAGTGCATTCATGAGTGGTTTACTGCTGTGAGAAAGTGAGGATCCAACGCCCCTCTGAACCTTCCTATTGAGGGCCGAGGCTGCTGGCATATTTGTCCATAATCTCCCATCCCTCATAGGTCGAGAGGAGGCAGAGGCACAGGGAGTCTTTGTCATGCAGGGCCATTCCCTGGGTCTCTGGGGGCAGGACAGGGGATCTGAGTAGGACACCAAGTGGCAGTCAGGGCACAGGCATGTGGCAAGACAAATTGGGCAGAAGACAGAGAAAGAGGCAAAGAATCACAAGAAAGGGCAAAGCTGAGGCTGCCTCTGTCCCAAATAAGGCAGTCAAATTCAAGGGTCCCCTAAAGGTTGCTCTCCTTCTGCACACAGCCACTCTGCAAACAATCTCAATCCTTCCACAATTGCATCTTCAATACAAAGAAAACAACAAAGGCATAAGCCCTAGTTGAGCTCCATATCAACACAGTCTTACCAGACAGCTTCTGCTGCACATTAGGTAAGAGTGGAAGCCTGGGACCACTGTCTGCATCCAAAGTCCTGCTCTGACTTTGGGTGAGGTTTGGTACCTCTGGTTGCTTCAGGTTCCTCTTCTGTAGACCAGGGACACTAACACAGGTCCTATGATGGTTAATTTTAAGTGTCGGTCTGACTGGATGAAAGGATGCCCAGGTAGCTGGTGAGACATTATTTCTGGGTGTGCCTGTGAAGGTGTTTGTAGAAGAGATTAGCATTTGAATCAGCAGACTGTGTAAGGGAGATCTCCCCTCACCAACGTGGGTGGGCACCAGCCCATCCCTCGAAGGCCCAAATAGAACCAAAAGGCAGCAGAAGTATGAATGTGCTCTCTCTTCTGGACCCAGGACATCCATCTTCTCCTGCCCTCGGACACCGGCACTCCTGTTCTCAAGTATTCAGACTCAAACTGAGTCTGAAGCCACTGGCTGTTCTGGTTCTCCAGGTATTTTTGTTGTTTGTTTTTTGTTTGTTTTAAGACAAGGTATGGCTCTGTTGCTCAGGCTGGGATGCAGTGCTGCAATCTCGGCTCACTGCAACCTCTGTCTCCCAGGTTCAAGTGATGCTCCTATCTCAGTGGGACACCCTCTCTCGAGTTGCTGGGACTACAGGTGTGTGCCACTGTGCCCGGCTAACTTTTGTATTTTTGGTAGAGATGGGGTTTTGCCATGTTGCCCAGGCTGGTCACGAACTTCTGGACTCCAGTAATCTGCTGGCCTCAGCCTCCCAAAGTGCTTGGATTACAGGCATGAGCCACCACACCTGGCATGGTTATCCAGTTTGCAGAAAGCAGATTGTGGGACTTCTTGGCCTCCACAATCACATGATCCAATTTCCATTGTGTGTGTGTGTGTGTGTGTGTGTGTGTGTGATGTTTCTCTGGAGAACCTTGACTAACACAGGTCCATAATCCCATATTCACAATTCGAAAACACAAGAAGCTCGAGAAATGTGGTTTCATAACTTTTCAGCATCACTTTGACCTGAACTAAAATTAGACAATTTATAGTCTAGGCTTTCCTGACTAATCATAAATATTCATATACTGCTTTGAGAAAATGGTAACATGTTTAATAATAAGGTGCTGCTGAGGATGTAACACTATATGTGGTATAGGCAGCATAAAAAGATAGGAAAAGATTTATTCAAACCACATCTGGTCTGAAGGGCTTTAGATAGGGAGTGTGTGGAACCTGTCCACCTGTGTTGTGACTGCAGAGTTCCCCCATTAGTGATGATTCTGGATGCAAACAGTGGTACGTTACGAACACACATGTAGTGCTTACCACGGATCAGGCACCGTTTGAAGCCATTCACATGTAATAACTTATTTATGTATTGCTTACAACCCCCTAACATTCGTATCTTAAATCATCACCAATATTGAAACTTTCCAGTTACAATCACAAGGGACTTCCAACATTGTGGGCAGGAAAATCTTCATGAGTTACAGGTTTTGTAAAAATTTAAAACTGGACTTGTGAAGCCAGCCCCCTTGTGACGAACTGGGAGTAGGCTATCAGCACCACACTGAGAGCGAGTCCAGGACAGAGAGAACCCCCTTCGCTGTGGATGCAGCCGCTCATGATGTTTCATCATCAGCTCATGATGTTTCATCAGCGGTGCAGAAGGCTGGCTCCGCAGGTAACCGTGCATGAGAGCTGCCAAGAGCCAACTTCCATCCAGATGAGAAACCATTATGCGCAGAGTGAGAAGAGTTGGGTGCAGGGAGGGAAAGACAGATGGCCAAGCAGGAGGGAGCTTGCAGTTTGGAAAGCTTGCCTGGCTTTTTTATTTTTTTATTTTTATTTTAATGTTATTTTATTTTATTTTTTGAGACAGGGTCTTGCTCTGTCACCCAGGCTGGAGTGCAGTGGTGCTATCTTGGCTCACTGCAAACTCTACCTCCTGGGTTCAAGCCATTCTCCCGCATCAGCCTCCCGAGTAGCTGGGATTACACTTGCTGGCCATGACACCTGGCTAATTTTTATATTTTTAGTACAGACGGGGTTTTGCCATGTTGGCCACGCTGGTATCAAACTCCTGACCTCAGGTGATCCACCCACCTCGGCCTCCCAAAGTGCTGAGATTACACGCGTGAGCCACCGCACCCAGAGGGCTTTTTTATTTAAAATGACACCCCTTAGTCACTGGTAAGTTGCAGTGCTAGTAATGTCAGCACTCACTCAGGAGGCTGGACAGGGAATGCACCAAAGCAGGATTTACGAGCTGGCCGAGGGGTGGCATCCAGCTTCTGAAGGCCTCGCACTGACAGTAGATTGCCAAGTCCTCCCCATAATATGTTCATTATTGATATTCTTACTGCTAAATGATTGAACTGAAAGATGGATAGTGAGGGAAAACAAATCCACACTGATTTAGCTTGCAGGTGGAATGTTCCCCCAATTGAGATGATCTACCCAGACATTGGAATCATAATATGATAGAAAAAAAAAGGGTGATGTGGCCGCATGCAGAGCAGCGGGGCAGGAAAGCACAGGGTTTGCCAGCAACTCGGCAAGGTGCCAGCTTGGATGTTCCTCGTTTTGTTTTTAATGGCTGACTCACTCTCATCATGATGTTTTCTGGAGCGTACGAAATACGGAAGGACCTGGCATGACACTGGGATCATCTTACAGTTGTCAAAGCTGGAATTGGTATTTTTCCTTGGCACAGAGAAAGACTACAATAGTCAAAAAATGAAAACAATAAACAAAAACAATAACAAAAACAGCAAACTCTAGGGAAGGGGGAGAATCTGCTTTCCAGAGCTCCCACATTATTAGATTCAAATGTCCAGCCTTTAACAACAACAACAAAAACTGTAAAGCATATGAAGAAACAGCAAAACATGGCACATTCAAAGGAAAAAATTATCCAACAGAAACTGTCCCTGAAAAAGATCTGATGACTGATCTGCTAGACAAAAAGTTTTAAATAACCATCTTAGAGATGTTTGAAGAACTAAAGGAAGATAAAGAAAAAGTCAGTAAAATGATGTATGAACAAAATGGAAATATCAATAAAGAGAAAGAAAGCTTAAAAACAAACAAAAAGAAATCTTGGAGCTGAAAAGTACAATAACTAAAATTTAAAATTTACTAGAGAGGGATTCAAAGGCAGATTTGAGCAAGGATAAGAAAGAATCAGAGAACTTGAAAATAGGACAATAGGAATTATCAAGTCTGAGCAATAGAAAGAAAAAATAATTGGATAAAAGCAAATAGAGCCAAAGAGACATGTGAGACTTCATCATGGGAACCAACACATGCATTGTGGGAATACCAGAAGGAGAAGAGAGAGAGAAAGGGGAAGAGAAAATATTTTTAAAATAATCACTGAAAACTTCCCAAACTTGATGGAAGACATGAATATAAAATTCAAGAAGCTCAACAAATTTCAAGTAAGAAAAACTCAAAAAGATCCACACAATATAATCAAACGTTTAAAAACAGAGTCTCAAAAACAGCAAGAGACAAGAAACTCATCACATGTAAGTGACTGTCACTAAGATTAACAATAGATTTATCATGCAAAAGTTTGGAAGCCATGAGGCAGTGGACCAATACCTGCAAAGTGTTTAAAAACAAAAAAAACAAAAAAAACCTTGTCAACCAAGAATCCTATATCCAGCAAAACCATGTTTTCAAAAGTGAGGGAGAAATTAAGACATTCACAGATAAAAAAAAGGCTGAGGGGTTCATAACTACTAGACCTTCCCTACAAGAAATGCTCAACAGAGTCCTGCAGGGTGAAATGAAAGGACACTAGACAGTAATTCCAAGCTATATAAAAAAATAAGACTGGGTGCGGTGGCTCATGCCTGTAATCCCAACACTTCAGGAGGCCGAGACGGGTGGATCACAAGGTCAGGAGTTTGAGAAAAAGTAAAGATCCCAACAACGGTAAGTACATGGACGATTTTAAAAGCTAGTTTTGTTATAACAACAGTCTATTTTCTATGTGATTTAAGAGAAATCAGTGACAGGAGAAATATTGGGAAACTTGCAAATAAATGGAAATTAAACAGCTTGCTTCTGAAAAACCAATGGGTCAAGCAAGAAATTAAAAGAGAAATGTAAAAATATCTTGAGACAAGCTAAAATGAAAATGCAACATACAGAAATTTATGGGATGCAGCAAAAGCAATTCTGAGAGGGAATTTTATAGTAATAAACACTTACATCAAAAAGAAGACTATCTCAAATAAACAACCTAAAGTTAAACCTCAAGGAAGTAGAAAAAGATCAAAGTAAGCCCAAACAGCAGAAGGAAATAAAGATTAGAGCATAGACTAATACATTGAAAGAATAACAATTATTAATCTAAAAGCTAGTATGATTATAACTTTGTTTTGTAACTCCACATTTTGTTTTCTACATAATTTAAGAGACTAATGCATTTTAAAGAATTATTAGCTTATGTTTTGAGACACACTATGTATAAACCTACATCAGAAATATCATGGGTTCAGGTCCAGACTACCACAATAAAGCAAATATCGTAATAAAGAAAGTCACACACATTTTTTGGTTTCCAAGTGCATATAAAAGTTATGTTAATACCATTCTGTTGTCTATTATGTATATAATAGCATTATGTCTTTAAAATGCACATACTTCAATTTAAAAATATTGTATTTCTTAAAATGCTAATGAGGTAAGCACATGCTGTTGAAAACAAATCATGCCAATAGACTTCCTCAACACAGGGTTCCTGCAAACCATCAATTTGTAAAAAATTCAAGACAAAGGGCAATAAAGAAGGTCAATAAAGACAAAAAAATTAGGTATGCTTATAAAAGGATATAATTTTGTGACATCAACAACTAAAAGGAGTGGGGATGGAGCTGTAAAAAAGCAGAATATTTGTATGTTGTTAAAGTTAAACTAATATAAATTTATTATTATCTTTTTTTTGAGATGGAGTCTTGCTCTGTCGCCCAGGCTGGAGTGCAGTGGCACGATCTCAGCTCACTGCAAACTCCGCCTCCTGGGTTCACGCCATTCTCCTGCCTCAGCCTCCCAAGTAGCTGGGAGACTATAAGCGTCTGCCACTACACCCGACTAATTTTTTGTATTTTTAGTAGAGATGGGGTTTCACCATGTTAGCCAGGATGGTCTCGATCTTCTGAACTTGTGATCCGCCCCCTCAGCCTCCCAAAGTGCTGGGATTACAGGTGTGAGCCACTGCGCCCGGCCTAAACTAATATAAATTTAAATTAGAGTATTACAACCTTAGGATGTTAAATGTAATCCCTATGATATCCGTAAAGAAAATAGCTATAGAACATACACAAAACGAAATGATAAAACATTTCAATACCAAAAAAATCAAACAAACACAAAAAAAGACAGTGATGTAAGAAATGAGAAACAAAAAAGCCATAAGATGTATGGAAAACAGGTAGTAAAATGACAAAAGTAAGTCCTTTCTTATCGTTGTCCAATTAAAAGACAAAGAGTAGCAGAATGCATAAAAATACATGATCTAATTATATGAGGACTACAGGAGGCTCACTTTAGATCCAAAGACACAAATAGGGTGAAAGTGAAGGGATGGAAAAAGGTTGAAGAACTCATGCAAATACTCACCAAAAGAGAGCAGGGATGGCTATAAAGGTTCAATGTCTCTTATCTAAAATACTTGGGACCAGAAGCGTTTTAAATTTTAGATTTTTTATTTTAAAATATTTGCATTACAGTTACTGATTCAGCATCCCAAATTCAAAAGTTCAGAATCTAAAATGCTCCAATGAGCATTTCCTTTGGGCATCATATGATTGCCCAAAAAGTTGCAGATTTTTAAAAATTTACAAAAGACAAGGAAAGACATATATTAATAAAAATGTCAATAGAGTAAGAAGTTATAATTATAGGCCAGGCATGGTGGCTCAAGCCTGTAATCTCAGCACTTTGGGGGGCCAACATGAGAGAATCACTTGCGCTCAGAAGTTCCAGACCACTCTGGACAACATAGTGAGGCCCCATCTCTACCAAAAGTTTTAAAAAAAATCCAGGTGTGGTAGTGTGTGCCAGTAGTCACAGCTATTTGGGAGACTGAGAAGGGAGGATTGTTTGAGCCTTGAAGTAGAGACTGCAGTGAGCTATGATCGTGCCACTGCACTCCAGCCTGGGCAACAGAGTGAGACCCTATCTCAAAAAAACAAGAAATTATAACAATTATAAATATTTAAACACTTAATTACAGACTATTAAAACAGACAAAACAAAACTGACATAATTGAAGGCAAAATAGTTCTATAATAATAGTTGAAGACTTCAATGCTCCCCCCCCAGTAATGGATAGAACAACATACAGAGGATAAATAAGGAAAGAGAGGACTTAAACAATACAATAAACCAACTAAATATAACACACATATACAGAACACTCTGCCCAATAGTGACAACATACACATTCCTCGTAAGTGCGCATGGGACATTTTCCAGGATATGCCATATGCTGGCCCACCAATTAAGCCCTGTAGATTTTAAAAGATAGATTTCATGCAACATATCTTCTCCAACCACAACAGATGAAGTTAAAAATAAATAACAGGAATAAAACTAAACACTCACAAATTTGTGGAAATTAAATAACACACTCTTAAACAACCAATAGCTCAAAGAAGATATTACAAGGGAAACTAGAAAATAATACTTAGACATAAATGAAAACAAAAACACAGCATACCAAAATTTATGGAATGCAATGAAAGCACTACTAAGAAGAAATTTTATAGCTATAAACACTTACATTAAAAAAAAAGATTTCAAATTAACAACCTAACTTGACAACTTTAGAAACCAGAAAAAGAACAACAAACTAAACCCAAACCTAGCAGAAGGAAGGTAATAATAAAGATTAGAACAGAGGTAAGTGAAATAGAGAATACAAAAACAATAGAGAAAACCAATAAAACCAAAGCTGGTTCTTTGAAAAGATCAACAAAATTGAGAAACTTTTAGCTAGATGAATTCAAATTTAAAAAGAGAGAATACTCAAATTATTAAAATCAGAAATGAAAGCAGGGACATTGCTACTGGTTCTACAGAAATAAAAAGAATTATAAGAGAGTACTATGTACAATAGTACAACAAAAATTGAATAACCTAATTTGGACAAATTTCTAGAATAACAAGACCTACCAAGACTAAATTGCAAAGAAACGGAAAATCTGAATAGACCTATAACTAATAAAGAGATTGATTCAGTAATCAAAAATCTCCTAAAAAAGAAACACCCTGGAACTAATGGCTTAACTGGTGAATTTTACCAAACATTTAAAGAACTAACACCAATTTTTCTCAAACTTTTCCAAAAAATTGAAGAGGAAGGAACACTTCCTCACTCATTCTGTTAGGCCAGCATTACCCTGAAATCAAAGCCAAACAAAGATACCATTGAAAAGAAAACTATATCTCTTATGCACATTGATGTAAAAATTCTCAAGCAACTACTAGCAAATCAAATTCAACAGCATATTAAAAGAATCATACACTATGACAAAGTAGGATTTATTCCTAAGTTGCAAGTATGGTGCAACATACAAAAATTGGTCAGTGTAACACAATCCATTAATAGAATGAAGGGGAAAAGCCAAGTGATTATCTTAAGAGATGCAGAAAAAGCACTTGACAAAATTACACTCAAGAAACCAGAAATAGAAGGAAATTACCTCAACATAATAAAAAGCCACATATGAGAAACCCACAGCAAACAGTGTATACTCAATGGAGGAAAGACTGAAAGCTTTTCCTCCAAGATCAGGGACAAGGCAAAGATGCTCACTTGCATCATTTCTATTCAACATCATACTGGATATTCTAGCCAGAGAAATTAGACATGAAAAATATATAAAATGTATTTAAATTGAGAAGGAAGAAGTAAAATGATCTCTATTCAGAGACGGTATGATCTTACATATTGGAAACTCTAAAGATTCCCGCTCCCCACCCCGCCCAAAAAAAACTGTTAGAATTAATAGGTTTAGCAAAGAAGCAAGGTACAGAGTCAACACATAAAAATCAGTTGCATTTATATTCACTAACAATTAACAATATGAATGGGAATTTACAAAAACAATTCCATTTAAAATAACATCTAAAAGAATAAAATAATTAGAAATTAATTTGACCAAGGAGGTGAAAGACTTGTATAATGAACACAGTAAAACATTGCTAATATAGAGAAACTAAAGAGGACACAAACACATGGAAACATACCCCATGTTCATGGATTGGAAGACAATACTGTTAAGATGACAAAACTATTGAAAGCAACTTACAGATTTATGCTGTTCCTATCAAAACCACAATGATTGTTTGCAGAGGTAGAAAAATCTATTCTAAAATTAATATGGAATCTCAAGGAACCCTAAGTAACCACAACAATCTTGCAAAGAAAACAAAGTTGTAAGATTCACACTTTCTGATCTCAAAACTTACTACAGAGTTACAGTAATCAAAACAGTGTGATACTGGCATAAAGACAGACATATTGACCACTGGAATAGAATAGAAAGCCCAGAAATACATACTCATATAATATGATCAAATGACTTTCAACAAGGGTGCCAAGACCATATAATGGGGAAAAGATGATTTTTTCAACATATAGTGCTTGGAAAACTAAATATCCACATGCAAAAGAATAAAGTTGGCTCTTTACCTAACACCATATACAAAGTCAGAATGGATCGAAGACTTAAATGTAAGACCTAAAAGTATAAAACTCATAGAAGAAAACATAGGACAAAAGCTTCATGACATTGCACTTGGCAATGATTTCTTGATTATGACACTAAAAATACAGGCAACGAAATAAAAAATAGACAAATTGGACTTCATGAAAATTACAAATTTTGTGCATCTAAATGCAATATCAACAAAGTAAAAAGGCAACCCACAGAATGGGAGAAAATATTTGCAAATAATATATTTATTACGAGATTAATATCCAGAATATATAAAGAACTCCTAAAACTCAACAACAATAAACAACAATTCAATTCAAAAATGGGCAAAGGACTTAAATAGACATTTCTCCATAGAATATATAAAATGGCCAATAAGCACATGATAAAATGTTCATCATCACTAATTATTAGGGAAATGTAAATCAAAACTACAATGAGATACTACTTCACACCCATTAGGATGGCTTCCATAAAATAAAATAAAAACAGAAAATAACAAGTATTGGCAAGGATGTGGGGAAATTGGAACCCTTTTGCATGGTTGATGGGAATGTAAACTGTTGCAGCCACTGTAGAAAACAGTACGTTGTTTCCCGAAAAAATTAAAAATATAATTACTATGTGATCCAGCAATTACACTTCTGGGTATATACTTAAAAGAATGGAAAACAGCATCTCCAAAAGATACGTGTACAACCTTGTTTATAGCTGTATTACTCCCAATATCTAAATGTGGAAGTAACCCCAGTGTCCATTAACAGATGAATGGATAAGCAAAATGCGGTCTACCCAGAGAATGGATTGTTAGCCCTACAAAGAAAGAAAAGCCTGCCACATGTACTACACGGATGAAACTTGAAGACATTATGCTACGTGCAATAATCCAATCACAAAAAGACAAATGCTTTATGATTCCACTTACATGAGATATTTACATTAGAATCAGAGACAAAGTAGAATGGTGGTTACCAGGGGCTGGGGTAGAAGGGAATGGGGAGCTACTGTTTGGCGGGTACAGAGTTTCAGTTCTGTGAGATGAAAAGAGACGTGGAGACAGATGGTGGTGATGGTTGTGCAACATTATAAATGTATTTAATGCCAATGAACTGTAAATTTAAAATGGCTAAGATAATAAACTTTATGTTATGTGATATTTTACCACAATAAAAAAAAATTGTGGGGAATAAAAGGTCCTGGATACAGGCTTACACCGCAGACTTCACTCTTCTGACAGAAAAGAAGAAAAAAATCCCTCGGGTTTGCCTAAGTTTCCTCTTCTCTGATTCCAATTTTATTTGAGCAGAAAATGAAAATATATACTTACATTTTTCAAGATAACTAACACCACGCCACTCATTTCCATAAGCCCCTTATGATTTTTAACCAGAATGGAATATCCTCATTCCACCTAAGATGCCAAGCTGCTCTGCTCTTTTATAACTAACAGCTTAAAATTTACGGGAAATGCTTAAGCTTGCTTACTAAACTCCGAGAGCTAAGCTTCTATGCAATGTTTATACCTGGTAGCTAATTCCACTTGCATTAGCAAGGAAGCTTTTGGTGATGACCTAGCAAGACTTGCTTTAAATGTATTTGTTTTAAGACAAAGCCTTGAAGCAAAGATATAAGGTACATTCTCCACATCCAAGTATAACACCTGAACAGACATGGCCTTACACCTAACATTTTGTAGTTGTTGTGTTTACGTCTGAAGGTAGTCTTTTGCTGAAAGAGTAATATTTCCCTCTTTAACGTGCTTTGATTTACTGTTCTGCTGTGTTTCAGACAAAATTCTTAGTAGAAGATGTTTATCAGAGGAAAGGAAGATAAGCAAGGGTTTACCTTGCCTGTTGTCTACTCTAGTTAGGGATATCATTATTTTCCATTAAGTGTGAGTCTCTCAGCTACAGCCTAGGAGTGAATTTAGCACTTTGGGAAATTATATTTACTCTCGCAAACAACTAAGGCACTATTTAGTCAATTACTGATCCAAAGCAATAAAGTTAGCTCATGATAGTTTTCAAAATTCATTAGAATAATGAAGTTCTACCGAAGTTGAAAATCTGCACTGACACTCCCCTTATTTATCACCATGGGTGTCTCCTTACTCCCATCCTCATCCTGCAATGGCATGTGTTCTAAAGTAAGAGAGAAACAACCTCAACATCTAACATCTACTAAGCTCCGAGCACGTAATTGTAACCTGACACATAGTAGATGCCCAGAAAACAAACTGTCAAATGAAATGGTACAAATCACTGTCCTAGACACAGACAAAGGGAAGAGGCCAGAGGGAAAGGTAGGGATGTTGGAGACAGCATTACATTGGGTCTTTGCTCTCAAGGAGCTTGAAATCTGATTCAGATAAGGCATCATAATGTGAAAATTAATTAATTTGTGTCATATTTTCTCTATAATCCCAAAGAAGGAGAAGAGCCTCACATGTTTAAAAAATAGAAAGAAAATCATTGAGCCTAGCTACAACATAGTGCAGAGTGTGAGGGTAAGAGACAGGGAGTCAATGACGGGCCACAGATGACAAGAAGCCTATTCATTCTGACAATCAGACTCCCCTGATAGGTCTTAGGAGGCAAATGAAGGCTTGAAAAGTCACTGTAGTTGCCAGTGGAAGAATGACTGGAATGGGTGAAAGAGGAAGCAGAGAGACCTTCAAGGAAGCTTTTGTCTTACACCAGAAGAAAAGCAAAGGCAATGTGGTCTACAGTAACAAAAATGGAGAAAGCCAATGCAATGGTGATCTATGTTGGAGATGAAGGTCTGACTGCGTTTGCAGATGAACCAGACGGTCAAGGTAAGGTAAAAGATATCAAGTGAAGGGTGTTCTGTAAATGTTTAGCCAGTAACCTGTCACCTCTCCACTTGAACCCCAAATGGTTCTCTTCCAGCCTCCCCCACTTCAGAAAAATGGCAGCCATGAACTTTACTTGGACAAATGAATTTTGAGATGTGTATTCACCCAAGTAGTGGTTTCAAGTAAGTGGTTGGACACATAAGTCAGAACTCAGCTTAGTGGTCAGGACTGGAAGCACCAGCATCCAGGAGATTTTCACAGCAATAGAACTGGATAGAACCATTGAAAGAATAAATGAAGACAGAGATGAAATAAGATCTCAGATCAAAGCCCTGGGACACCCCAGCATTTACGATGCAGGCAGTTTGGGAGAAGCCTACAGAGGAGACTGAGGAGAAGAGGCCAGAGAAGTAGCAGGAAACCCTGTTTGAAGCTAAGAATGAGAAGATTTTCAAGGAAGGAACCATGTCAGACGCTGCTAAGCTGCCAAGTGAGAGGAAGAATAAAATGTCAGGTTTGGAAAGACTGAGGTTGTGGATAAATTTGACAAGACTGGTTTCTATACAGTGACAGAAATAGAAGCCACAGGGAAATGTTTGCAACAAAATAAAAAACACCAGATATCACCTAGCTATACCACAGAGGAGAAAATTCTCAGGCCTTTTGCCCAAGCACAAACTTTGACTTGCTGTGACCATGAATACACAGCCTTTGCCACCTCTCCAGTATCAGTGGAATGTATGCTCCAAAAGGCCAGAAGCCGGGCATGGAACTGCATCATATGACAAGCCTCTTAGGCACAGGGTGCCTACCAGTTTCTCTAACATGCATTATTGTTCAAATTCTATGTTCATAAGTATTAATCTAGAGCCCCTGGACTTAAGGATTTAAGAGGGACTATATGAGACTATATCCAAAATTATGTGCAAATGCATTTTTCTAGTGAAAGAGTCTAAAGCTTTTAACAAATTTTTAAGGGGTCCATGACTCCCCCTCAAAAACTGAAATATTAAGAACTTTGCCCTACACCAAAGAAATTATACAGCTCACCAAACTGAGAGAGACTTTCTCTGAGATCAAGCTCCTATGAGAGCATCATTTATCATCATCCAGGGCACTAAGCAACATTTGCTCCACAGTCAAAGAAACTCCAAATAGCCCAGCAGCCTAATAAATCACCCACCCATCTCATCTAGCACTCCTCTAAGCTTTTAAAGACTTTGAATCCAGGGAAATGTCACTTCTGGGCATGGAGCTTCAGAGGCTGATAAATGCTAAACGATCCATCAAATTGTATGAGGACAGTGCAGAGCTTGAGCGGGAAGCCACACTGTGCTATACCTAAAGAATTGTAGCTCAAGCACAAAGCACTATCTGACGAGGGTCCTCCTAATTCAATTTCTGAAATCAGTTCCCATCAAGAACTCCTGCTGTGGGTAAGATATGGTGGCTGGCTTATAAGTGGTACTCGGCATTCTGATTGGGTCAGTGCTATCCCAAGGGTTTCACTCCACTTTGAATACTTGGGCAAAGGCTGCTAGAAATGTTCGGCAATGATAGTGAATATGCTTGTTCCAAGAATATAAAGGAATTTTAGGACATTTGTGCTCTTCAAAGTGCCAGAGGTGAAGCATAAATTGGTTCTCTATACCCGCCGAGCAGCAGTGCACTCCTTGCAAGCCACCGTGAATGGGTCGGATGTGAAATTTCAACCTCATCTAAAATTCAAGTTTAACTCCTCAGCTGCCACCACCATATTTGGTCACTACAGAGTCAGAGCTCACTTCCAATCAGGAACATGACATTTAACTACTAGTGGAAACACAGCTGTCTATATTCTGAAATATCCTTCCTTGGGAGTACTCTTTCAATCTTCAGTCAAAACATACAAATGTACAAAATATTCAGTGCCCAAGGGCATGGCAGGGGCTCAAGGCAGGGATGATGCCTCTCACACACTTTTTTTTCCAGTCATCAAATTTCAAGACAACAGATGTTTATTCAGTGATTTCTCTTTTGATTTTTCAATCCGTGGCATCTAGCACAGTGCCTGGCATGTAGAGGCAGCACAATTCTTTTAATCAATAAATCAAGTATTGAGAGATTAGAGGAATACTGTATCAGTCAGGGTCTGGTCAGAAAACAGAAACCAGGCTAGGATTTCACACAAAGGGAATTTAATATGGGGAACAGCTTATGCAGGTATCAGAAGATGGGGATGCCTAAAGAGACAATGAGGCAAGCTAGATTCTAGCAACAGCAGGTGCCATTCCGAGTCCTGGGTATGAGGCAGGTCTCCCAGGGCTAAGAGCTGGATAAGCACAGGGGAGCTGCCTGACCACAGTCAGGAGTACAGAGAGAAGGGAAAGGGCTGCCCCTACAAGAGCCAAAGCACCGAGGAGGTGCTGCCTGCGATAGAAAGCAGGTGAAAAAGCCCTGACTTCCCTCATTCCACCCTCCTGTCTTACACTAGAGTGTCCATTGGCAGAGGGCAGGGGAGGCTAAGAGATGTAGCTGTTATCCACGGCAGAGCACACAAAGATGGTGAATAGGCAACTGACTCCCACAAATACTCCTTAAGATACAAAGAGCATATGACAATTTCCCAAGGAATTAATTAGTATGAATTAGTGACAGCATCAAGGAATGCATAAGATACACATGCTTTAAAGGGTGCTGTAAGGGTGAAAGAGCAGTAGAAACAGTAAGCCCTGAAGCCATCCCCAAGAAGGAGAGATGCATATGCTCCTCAGAAGACAGGCTGGAGCATTCACCTCTGCATCTCAGCGCACAAAAGGTGTTGATTCAAAAGACATGGACTGGACTGATTTCCATTGTTGATGAGAATGGTCTGAAGGGGTTTCCACGGAGCACATGAATGGGTTCCTGCTTTTGAAAGAGGAGAAGAATTAAACTGAAAAGGAGAATACAGGAATTCTAGAATGGCAGCCATAGGCGTGTAGAGGCTGAAATGAAGAACAGAGACATAACCTTGTGCCAGAGCATGGCTTGCCTCTGCACACCACTCATGCTCTGGGTCTCTCCAATTACTCCAGAGCTGATGTTGTCTCCACCTCAACATTATAAAATCTTTGAAGGTAGGAATGGCTCTACTTCATCTTGTCCCAAGCCTCTCAGTTCTCAAGGTGTTGTTCAGCAGTTGGCTTCACGTCCCTTGTCTCCCCTTGACCTCTCCCTGGAATCCCTCTCCTCACCCGTCACCTTTTTATTTCAAGAAGGTGGATAAAGTCCGCATGTTTATATCTCCTCCTCCCTAAATTTCCACAGAAACAAAAGAGACAAGAACAATCTACAGGTCATTAGAAAACAAAAAGAGTGCAAACAGGAAAAATAATATTTGGGGAACTTCCACATAGTAGAAAGACGATGGATGTGGACAACTGGGTGTGAATAGGCAACGGACTCCCACAATGAGAATGCAGACAAACCAGCCCCAGCACAATAGCAGCTACGAGGATGTAGACAAAGCGGCCAGGACAACAGCGGCAGAAGGGGTGAGTGAAGTGAGAAGTGCTCTGCCCTTCCAGCGCTTTTTCCTTGCCCCTCTCAGGTGAGATTCCCATTCTTCCCTCTCCCTCCAGCAAGAGCTTACTTAAGTCTTTTCTGTTTCCTCTCCAAGGAAGGAAGATGCAATCGTGTAACTGGTTAGGACCTGAGGCTCCTATTTCACTGGGTCTCAAAAGCAAGAATGGGCCAAGTGCTTGTCCCCTGTGCAGGTGTGACAGATGCCTATGCCTCTGCCACCTTCACTCCTTGCTCCCTCTGCTTCTGCCCAGGTACACAGGCCATCTGAAGGTAGCACTTCTCTCTTCCAGCATCTCTGCTTGTAACAAAGACAGATTTATCAACTCAGGATGCATCAATTCTAAGGATGGATTCATCAGATTAAGTCTTGAGTTTGAGGCAGATCCCAGCTACCTTGAAGGCAAGTGCCAATCTTCAATCCAGTTTTTTTCTTAATGGAAATATAATTATTCAGAAAAGTACATACTTCAAAACAGTTTTAATAGGCAGGACTTGCCTTTTAGGGCTTACAGGACACTCTTGTCGCTTTAGATAAAGTTCTCTCTGTTCTACTAGCTTTTTCTCTGCACATAAGGTGCATCAGCTAAGACCTAGGCAGGATAACGGGAGGCACGGACCCTCGAATCCTCAACAGGAACCATTGCCTAACTGTTCTCGAGGGGAAGGCCTCTTATAGGTACCTCCTCCCTGGCAGGGTGAGGGGTACCCTAAGGAAATGAATGCTGAGCCTTAGAGTTCTCAGATACTTCACTCCCATTGATTAATCAGGACCTGCCATAAAGTGTAAAGAAACATTAACAGGCAATGAATAATCACCAGCTATTAGAATAAACAGCCACAAACAGGGAACTAATTTCAAAAATTTTACAAATTCCAAAAAACTTCTTCATCACCAAGACAATTTGCTTCCATCTCCCAGAAAACTGAGAAATATAGAAGTCCACTATGATGGCAGTATAAATCCTGCAACCCCACAGCAATAGCACAGCAAGCAATTTCATGGCTATGTCTGGTGCCTTTTACTTTTTAGGCAGAGCCAGCAAATTTTCAGTTAAGTGAATATCATCATTACCTTTAATGCAATATTGAAGAATTGACTTCTAATTAAGGTTAATAAAAGGAAAAATCATCAATAACTAAAATTCAAAAGGAGTCATAAAAATCTTTACAGAATGACTGGGGAGAATGGAGAGCGTGCAGAAGGCCATGAGGAGGTAGCTGGAGATTTTGTGCATAAGCTGCCTTCTGTGTAGGTGATTGCCTCTCTCTAGCCTTCTTTGGTTGGTAGAAACTTTTCTCTTTTTTTCCTGTAGTAATTTAGTTTTATACCTTATTTCCATTGACAAGTGGTTTTCCTTGAAAATTTAAAGAGAGACCTAAAAAGATGATCATTGAGATATATCAGTTATCTTAATAGGTTAAATTTCCTATTAAAAGGCATATTGTGAGAGTGTAAGTGCATGCTGTTTACAACAGACTTATCCAAAATCAGATGGCACAAGAAAAAAATAAATAAAGTAATAGATGAGATACACGGAGAAAATGCTAACAAAGGAAACACGTGTAGCAATACTAATATGATTTCAAAGCAAACATTCTTAAATAGCAGAAAGAATTTCATATTGATTAAAGAGATAATTCACAAAGAAAATACAACAGTCACAAATCTTCAGGCATATAACAAACCACCAAAATATCTACAGCAAAAGATACATAAATTCAAGGAGAAACTGGAAAAGCAGAAACACATTTCTCAAAAATAAATTCAATTTTTAAAATGAGATTTTAGAATTTGATTAACAAGACTAACAAATTTGGTATAATATTGACTAACTATAAAATTTTACACCCAAAACCAGAATAAGCATTTTAAAGGACTAACAGGATATTAAATAAGAATTTTATTAGTTAATAAACATAATCTTCATATATTCTTCCTAAAGTAGAAATCACACAGAACATGCTTTTTGAGCATTACTCAACGAAACTAGAAGAGTGAAGAATAGGATAGTCAAAATAAATCTAAGCATATAGAAAATATAAAATACTCAAATCTTTTGGACAAAAGAAGAAATCAAAATAAAAATTGCAAACCTCAGGTGAGTTTAAAGAAAAAAGAGGCTTACAGGCCAAAATCAACAGCTTTCCACATTGGACGACTGTGTGCATTTGTCTATAACTTGCCTGACAGTTAATTGCCTGTATCCCTTTTCTACCCAGTTGTTGCCTTCTCATCTATACATGGAGGGAAATCCACCCTTTGTTATCTGTGTTGCCCGCGCTTTCTTTCAGATTTTTGCTCCTATGTTAATTTTCTTTTCTGGTGTCTTTACACATACAGAGATTTTAAATTTTTATGTGGCTAGGACTGTGAGTCTTTTTCTTTCTATGTTTCTGTCTTACTCAAGCAGATACTCCTCCTCAGCCCACATTACCAAACTATTATCCTCAAATTTCTTGTTTTAAGTCACTTATATTTTTATCTTTAGTATGTTTGAAATTTATTTTGTGTATGATTGGTATAAGAGGTCTAGTTGCTTCCTCTAAGAAGCCAGTTATGCCAGATGGATCAAGTGGGGTTCCTTTCCCCTTTGATGTGGACAGCAATCTTGATAGCATATTTAATTCTGTAGTGACAGCTCCCTCTGGCTCATTCTCCCTCCCTTGTCCATTTTTTTTTTTTTTTTTTTTTTTTTGAGATGGAGTTTTGCTCTTGTTGCCCAGGCTGGAGTGCAGTGGCATGATCTCGGCTCACTGCAACCTCCACCTCCCAGGTTCAATCGATTCTCCTGCCTCAGCCTCCCGAGTAGCTGGAATTACAGGCATGCGCCACCACACCCAGCTAATTTTGTATTTTTAGTAGAGACGGGCTGGTCTCTACTAAAAGACCAGCTTTAGTTGGTCAGGCTGGTCTTGAACTCCCAACCTCAGGTGATCTGCCCGCCTCAGCCTCCCAAAATGCTGGGATTACAGGCGTGAGCCACCACACCTGGCTGTCATCCACTTTTAAGGACTCTTGTAATTACACTGGGTCCACCCAGGTAATCCAGGATCATCTCTATTTTATCTGTTTTATGTATGAATGTATGTATGTATGTGTTTATTTATTTACTTATTGTTGTCATTAGTAGTAGGGGCATCATTTATTCTTTATTCTTTATTTTTTATTTTTTATTTCCATAGGTTTTTGGGGAACAGGTGGTGTTTGGTTACATGAATAAGTTCTTTAGTGGTGATTTCTGAGATTTTGGTGCACCATCACCTGAGCAGTATGCACTGTACCCAATGTGTAGTCTTTTATCCCTCACCCCCTCCCATCTTTCTCCCCGAGTCTTCAAAGTCCATTGTATCATTCTTATGCCTTTGCATCCTCATAGCTTAGCTCCCACTTATGAGTGAGAACATATGATGTTTGGTTTTCCATTCCTGAGTTTCTTCCCTTGGAATAATGGTCTCCAATTCCATCCAGGTCACTGTGAATGCCGTTATTTCATCCTTTTTATGGCTGAGTAGTATTCCATGGTATATATATATATATATAAACCACAATTTCTTTATTCACTCATTGATTGATGCATATTTGGGCTGGTATCATATTTTTGCAATTGCAAGTTGTACTGCTATAAACATGTGTGTGCAAGAATCTTTTTCATATAATTACTCATTTTCCTCTGGGTAGATACCCAGGAATGGGGTTGCTGGATCAAATGGTAGATCTACTTTTAGTTCTTTAAGGAATCTCCACACTGTTTTTCATAGTGGTTGTACTAGTTTACATTCCCACTGGCAGTGTAGAAGTGTTCTCTTTTCACCGCATCCATGCCAACATCTATTATTTTTTTATTATGGCCATTCCTGCAGGGGAGTGAGGTGGTATCACATTGTGGTTTTGATTTGCATTTCCCTGATAATTAGTGATGTTGAGCATTTTTTCATATGTTTGTTGGCCATTTGTGTATCTTCTTCTGAGAATTGTCTATTCATGTCCTTAGCCCACTTTTTGATCGAATTGTTTGTTTTTTTCTTGCTAATTTGTTTGAGTTCCTTCTAGATTCTGGATATTAGTCCTTTGTTGGATGTATAGATTGTGAAGGCTTTCTCCCACTCTGTGGGTTGTCTGTTTATTCTGCTGATTGTTTCTTTTGCTACATAGAAGCTTTTTAGTTTAATTAAGTCCCATCAATTTATCTTTGTTTTTATTGCATTTGCTTTTGGGTTCTTGGTCATGAAGTCTTTGCCTAAGCCAGTGTCTAGAAGGGTTTTTCTGATGTTATCTCCTAGAGCTTTTATGGTTTCAGGTCTTAGATTTAAGTCCTTGATCCATCTAAACTTGATTTTTGTATAAGCTGAGAGATGAGGATCGTCTCATTCTTCTATCTGTGGCTTGACAATTACAGGATAATCTCTATTTTAAAATCAGCTAATAAACAACTCAATTCCATCTGTATCCTTAATTCCCCTTTTCCATGCAACCTAATATATCCACAGGTTCCAAGAGTAAGGACATGGACGTTATCTTGCTACCACAGAGTATATGACTGGACCTGTCACCTCCCTCTCTGAAGCTAGAAGTCCAGGGCTGCCTGTCCCCCGCTGCATGAGATCATGAGGGTGCCCCGCCTGGGCATATGAACTCAGAGCTTGCATGCTCACTTGCTACACAGGCATGAAAAGACTTAAGAGGCAAGAGAGGTGGGGAGCAAAGGGCCCTGCTCCTGCTAACCAGAGTTCAACAGGTACCAGATGAAACCAGTTTAGCCATACTTAACAAACTAGTTACTCTTCCTCGCATGGGTAGAGAGTGAACTAGTGGCCAATCAGACCAGACAGTCCTTCCCCCAGGGAAGCATTCATTGATCACTTGCCTCCTTGCTCTCACATCCATTACCTCCACTTCCCCTATTTGCTGTGTGTTCAGGACATTCCATTTTCCAGGCTCCCATGCCAACTGGCTTTCTGGTGATTTTGGCCAATGAGAGGTGCATGTGGAAGACTGAGGAGGAAGGAAAAGGAGGAAGGGAGCCAGGATTTACTATGTCCCTCCACTGCCTCAGGCCGATTTCCAACTTCTCCATCAATAGCTCTCACCAAAATCTTCTCCCTAGATCTTGCAGAACCTGACAAAAGGCTCCAGATCCTCTATTATGGTCACACTACCTCCTTCAATTGTTCCTTCACTCACAGACAAGGCAATGTTTTCCTGCTGTTCCTAATCCATCTATTGCCTTAGTGTCCTACTTGACTTTTCCAGTCTTTTGTCATCGATGGACACAGTTCCCTATATTGAATTCCCTCTGTTCAAAGATATAGAGTGGTTTCTGCTTCCGTGGGTTTGAACTAATACATGGTAGTAAATTCCCTCTCAAAAACATGAATGTAATAGAATCAGGCCCAGATATCCAAAACAGCTATCATTAGAGTCAAAAGTAAGTAGAACTTCACAGGGGCACATAAGTAGCTCCAACTGCAAAAGTAGATGACTAAAGACAAAAATTATCAAAATACTTTCAGGCCGAATTCTTCAAATAGA
Source organism: Homo sapiens (assembly GCF_000001405.40). Classification (NCBI taxonomy): domain Eukaryota; kingdom Metazoa; phylum Chordata; class Mammalia; order Primates; family Hominidae; genus Homo; species Homo sapiens. The sequence goes on along the minus strand of NC_000007.14, from coordinate 153,198,233 downwards.
AAATATTGCTTCCACTGTCTCCATTTCTAGACTGATTCACTTACGCAATGCAGTCCTTGTGCATAAGCCAAGTCAAGTGTGTCAAGAAGTAGCAATGCTGTAAGACACAATCATCTAACTTTGGGGTTTACACAAATAACCTAGGGGGCCAGTTTAAAAAAATAAAATGTATGTGCTCCAACTTCAAACATTTAGAAGTTCTAGGTGAGGCCCCTAATCTGCATTTCAGTACAACAAGTGATTCTGACACACGTATTCCAGGGACTACGTGCTGAGAAACTCAATATGATCAGTGATCTCCAGAAGGTTATTTCAATGTTCTTGGCCTCAGCTTCCCCATCTGTCACACAGGAATGGATACAACAACCTCAAAAATATGCCATAGGATTAAAAAACCTCCTATATTATAAAGCATCTGGTCTACGCAGGGTAAGGATAGCAAAAGAGAAAGGGGTTGCATGCATCCTACACATTAATTTCTGCTGAGTATTCAAGACAAGCATCATTCTTTGATATTCTTATTTTAACAACATATTTTTATGTCTTGGGATATTAATATTGGTGATGCAGATCTGGACTCAGAATGTGTCTCAAATTTCTTGAGTTGATACAGAATAGAAACAGTTAATCCAAGTCCAATATCAATTTAAGTTAGGAAGTCTCTACTTCTAGTATAACTTAAAAAGCTATCTGACAGATAAGAGATATCAGCTGTGTTTTTAAAAAATGCTTATTAACTTTGCAATCTGGTACACTAAAAACTAAATTTTAAAAAAACCTCAGTTAGAATATTTAATTAAGACTAGTTGAATTATTTAGTCAAGGGAATCAGTTCATAAGGCCCAATAATCTTTTAAAAGTTACTTTTTATAAATGTAGTTATACAATGTTAAAAACGACTCTGTTAACAACTTTCAGAAGCTAAACCTCACCATCTCCTGCCTTCCTGCCCTACCCTCAGAAATTAGCCAATTGAAGAACCAGCCAACATACACAGCAATTTAGAGATCCCTTGATAATGCGGCATCCAATTGTTACTTAATCGTGAATAAAATGGTTTTAAAGTGAGTTAACATGCTAATAGCATCAACTTTAACAGCCCCATTTATTCTTCACATTATGTGAATAATTCGTGGGTAGAGCTCTCTGTCTGAATGGAGCTTTGTTGTCTCACTGGGTAAATAGCCCACAAATCCCACCCATTGCACAATCTGCTCCACAGATATGTGCACACACTTCTGCAAAGTATTAGGGTGGGAATCAGGGTCAAGCAGTGAAAGTAAAAATTTTGATGCAAATGAGCATGGAGATGTAAAAAGGAACAGTAGAGAATTGGAGGGAATTCTAGAAAATAAAGAGCAAATCAATTGTCTTTGTTTGGAATCTATGATTTTCAAAATCTTTTACAACCAGCAAATGTTTCCAGTGAGCGGGGGGGGGAAGTGTAATAGCTTTGTGTCTCAGAGGAGGTTGGATTCAAAAATACCAAGAAAGAATTGGGATGGCCACCATGCCACAGGTGTGGAAATAGAGAATTTCACAACTACAGGTAGTTACAGACATCTATGAGTAGGGGAGAGGGATTGTAGTAATCAAGCATCCCAAGTCCAGTGCTTTCCACAAAGAATACTGGGAATAGGGGTCCACACATAATGGAGCAGACTTTGTGTCCACGTCCGCATCCTTGGTCAGTGAAGACGCAGTAACAAGGCAGATCTTCCTTCCCTCTGCCCTTCCTTAGAATGGAAGGCTGTTCTACAAATACATGGAAGCTTCTATAATTCTGAGACCCTGCATAAGTCTAGAACTCCAAAGACAAATTCAAAATGAGAATGCGGGTTTAAATAAGAAATGTAAGAGAAACTATGCTACAACTAGATCAGGTAAGTCAATGAAGCAGGAAAATTAAACGTCAAAGAAATATCCATCCAACCACTGACCCACTATCTGTCTGAATAACTAGAAAGGTAGAACTAATGAAAACTGAGTTTGGATCTGCAAAATGTAAGTCATTTCTGTATCTCCCATGAAAGACAAAGAGAACCAACGTTAGGGACCTGACTAGCTATTTTTCAGAAACTCTTTAACAACAGGCCAATAACACAGTAGCCAGTTAATGTTTGATACGCAGTGGAAACCACACCATCAACATATCCATCTACTTGTTCAAACATTATTATCAAGACAATCACAAATTATATGATAAAGTTATTAAATGCTATGGCTCAACTAAGAATTTTCTGGAAATTTGTTCACTGATAGCCTGTGGGTAAAGCAAATAAGTTCTATTAAAATGGTCACTTAGTGACCTGGAAGAATCCCTGATGTTGCTGGGTTCCCTGCAGAAAACAGACATCAGAAACAGGAAGATGCAAATTGCCTTTGGTCTAACTACTGATATGGTAAAGTTCTAACTAGTAATTATTTTTCCTGTATTTAGCAGTATACACACATACAGACACACAAATACCATTGCCAATAGACTCTAGGAACACAATTACACTTGCGTAGGGGTCTTCCAAACAGTCTGTCAACTATAAAACCTGAAAACACAGCCAGCTTCTCTGCAAAGACAATCAGTACTTTCCATTCTATTTGCACATACTTAATATAATTATTATAAAGTATACTATTAAAACAACTAACATTTATTGAGCACTTACTATGTTCTAGGCACTATGAAAGGTGTTTTATATATAATATCTCATTGAATCTTTACAATAGCCTTTTGAAATAAGCAGATAAGTTCTTATAATTCCCACAGTATCAATAGGCAATCAAAACTCATGAGTCTTGAGTGCATTGACCCAGGATTGCCACGCTAGCAAGGACAAAACAAGACCTGAATCCAGCCTTTTAGGTCTACACCAGTGTTCTTTCCACTGTCCCATAATTTTTTTGGTAAACATTACTTATTTCCATTTTTGTCTCAATTGTACTTTAGAGTACACTATTTTTTTAACTTTCTATTTTGAAAAAAGATTCACAGGTCAAACGGTACAAAGTTGAGTTATATTCAATGAATAAGTCTAAACATCTAATGCACAGCATGAGGATGGTAGTTAATAATATTGTAGACTGAAAAGCTAAGAGAGTAGCTTTTAGGTGTTCTTACCACACAGAAACACAAATTAACTATGTGAAATAATAAATATGTTAATTGGCTTGAGGGTAATAATCATTTCACTATGTGTGTGTGTGTATATGTATATATATCAAAACATCACATTGTATGACTTGAATATATACAACTGAAGAAAAGATTCGTGGGCTGTTCCAAGAAACATATAGGGGAATCCTATGTACCCTTCGCCCAGTTTCCCCCAAGGGTAACATCTTGCCTAACTACCCTAGAATACCAAAACCAGGAAGCTGAAATTGATATAATCCACAGAGCTTATTCAGATTTCACCAGTTATGCATGCACTCATTCGTGTGTGTTCACATAACTCAATGACATTTTATGACATGTGTGGCTCCATGTGGCCACCACCACAATCAGGATTTCCAACATCATCACAATGCTTCCTCAGCTAGCCCTTTTATAGCCACACCTACTCCCTCCCCTTCATCCTTAACCCCTGACAACCACTAATTTGCTCTCTGTTTCTGTAATTATGTTTCTCAGTATTTGTAATTCATTTCAATATTCATAATTATATGACCAATGTCATATTTTAAATATCACGTAGCATATACTCTTTTGAGGTTGACATTTTTCACCCAGCATCATTCCCTGGAAATTAATCCAAGTTACTGCAGGGATCAATAGCTCACTCCCATTTATTGCTGAATAGTATTTCATGGTATGGTTGTGCCAGTTTGTTTAGCCATACATCCATTAAAGAACATTTGGTGGTTTTTAGCTGGGGGCTCTTGAAAATAAAGCGGCTATCAACATTCAAGTACAAGTTTCTCCATGAAAATAAGTTTTCATTTCTCTGAAATAAATGGCCAAGTATGCAACTGCTAGGTTGTATGGCAAGTCCATTTTATGAAGGTTTATGAAGAACTGCCAAACGATTTTCAGAGCAGCTGTACCAGCTTACATTCCTAGCAGCAATGTGCAAATGACCCAGTTTCTCTGCACCCTTGACCAGCATTTGGTGTTATCATTATTTTTCACTTTATCCTTTCTAACAGGTATGTGGTAACGTCTCACTGTGGTTTTTTGTTTTTTTTTTTTTGAGACGGAGTCTCACTGTGTTGCCCAGACTGGAGTGCAGTGGCGCAATCTTGGCTCACTGCAACCTTCACCTCCCAGGTTCAAGCGATTCTCCTGCCTCAGCCTCCTGAGTAGCTGAGGTTACAGGCACCCACCACCATGCCTGGCTAATTTTTGTATTTTTAGTAGAGTTGGGGTTTCGCCATGATGGCCAGGATGGTCTCGAACACCTGACCTCAGGTCATCCACTTGCCTTGGCCTCCCAAAGTGCTGGGATTACAGGCGTGAGCCACGGGGTCCAGCCTCATTGTGGTTTTAGTTTGCATTCCCTAATGATTAATGAAGTTGGATATCTTCTCCCGTCATGAAATATCAGTCTGTGTTTTGTCCATTTTCTAACAGAATGTTAATTTTTTGAGAGTGGAGAGTTTCCTATATACTCTAGATTCAAGTCCTTTGTAGAACACGTGATTACCCACAGACTTGGATGCTTGTCTGTAATACTTGGAGCTGGTAAGGGCTTTAAAAATGAAATTCCATCATGTTGTAGCTCATGGAATTAAATGTATCAGGAATGTAAACACTCACCGTGCACTTCATCAGGGAACCAGCAGAAAGCCAGGGCCTGGCTTTCACAGAAGCAAAATCTAGAGACAGACATTAGACCAAGGATATTCAAGCACAGAACTGTGAGGTGTGGATAGCACCTGCGAGGAGGGTGTGGCCTGAGGGAGACACTCCAGGGTGGGCTCCAGGGTTCCTCCTCACCCCGCCGCCCAGCCTCTTCGCCCGCGGGGCTCCTCGCCATCTCTGCGGCTCACGCGCCACCTTGTGGGCCCTGTGAGCTCAGCAGGACCCTGCGGAAAGCAGGCTCATGCTTGGAAAACACCTGGTGTGTCCTCACCCAAGCTCCTCTCCAGGAATGATCGACGCACCACACTGTCTACCCTTGGGACATTCATCTCCTACAACTGCTTCCAAGAGGAAAACTAGTTTGGATAGTAATCACTGGCTTATTCTTTGTGATTGATAAACCACCAGAAGGGTGGGAGATAGCTGAGAGGCCCCGAACGCAGGGGAATCCCGTAACTACACATACCCAGGCTTACGGGTCTCCTCCTGTGGCTGCATGATCGCCCTACAGAGCGCTTCTTCGCAGATGGCGCTCACCTGCCCAGCATGACATTCACCTTGAGGAAGGGGATCTCAAGGCAGCCTTTCTTTGACTACTAGGATAGAGGCTGCAATGGGTTTTTCTCCTGGTATTGCCACTGATGTGTGCTGTGTTGCAAAAGCATGCACCAGGAAAGGCCAGGCTCAACTCCTGTCTCATTTTAAACAATCAGAATGTAAGAACCAAGGGAAAGAGTGACTGCATTAACTTTTTTCTTTTGAATGAAAAATAAAGATTTGTATATGACACAGGCTTAACCAATAGCACAAACATTCAAAATGGCAGCTGTCATCATAATTAGATCATCTAGCCAAGGAGCTTTTCTTTAAATAGAAGCTTATATTGCAACCCAAACATGTAAGGAACATAAATGTGGTGGGAAGCAGGAGGGGAAGGGAGTATGAGCCCAGGGGCACCTAAGACCTCTCAATGGCAGATCCAGAAGCACTGAGAAACCCACTACCATGTTGTAAATGGGAAAAGGGATCCAGAAATAATGACCTCCCAAAAGACACATGACTAGTTAGGGCAGAACCAGGATTAGAATCCAAGTTACTTACCTGGTTCCTCACGAAACCTTCATCCTAAATATCTGATGTCTCAATACCTTGTTTCAATGGACTCTTCATGCCAGAGATCAAGGTTTTTTTTCTTTGTGGGGCATGAAACAGCATTGTCACTTTCTCCAAGTTTAGCTAAAAGCTGAAACCATAAAAGGAGGAATCATGCCATAAAGGAAAGTACCCACAAGTCTTTTTTCTTTTTTTTTTTTTTTAGAGAGAGTCTCTCTCTCTCTCGCCCAGGCTGGAGTGCAGTGATGCAATCTTGGTTCACTGCAACCTCTGCCACCCAGGTTCAAGCGATTATTCTGCCTCAGCCTCCTGAGTAGCTAGGATTACAGGCGCTTGCCACCGCACCTGGCTAATTTTTGTAGTTTTTTTAGCAGAGACGGGGTTTCACCATCTTGGCCAGGCTGGTCTTGAACTCTTGATGTCGTGATCTGCCTGCCTCAGCCTCCCAAAGTGCTGGGATTACAGGCATGAGCCACCGCACCTGGCCACCTACAGGTCTTTTTTTAAGGTCTCCAGAAACCCAGCCTGGGTTCTTACTGCCGCACCCTCCCAGACACAGAAAAGGAAACTTACAGGCATTCCTTCCCTTTGGTCTTTGCCTTCGGTGAATCTGTGGAGAAAAGCCTCTGCCACCTGACAACAGCCCCAAATTTTCCTATTCTTCTCCATCACTGGATCACTATGGAGACCTTGAAACAGCTGAGGACAAACTACAGCTCTGAGGGAAGGGCTCAGAGGGGCAATTCTGAGGGTGAAGGAGGGAATTCATCTACCCAGAGGGCAGAGGGAGGGATAAGGGGTTATGCAGAAGAGTGGCTTCAATGATGGGAAAGCACAGAAGTCCTGCCTCCCAGGATGGAGAACAGATGGTTAGAAAAGGGATGAACACTGCACAGTGGCAGGTGAGTTCCAGGCCTTTACCTTTTGCTGACAGCCAGGCCTCAGGCAGCAAGTCCTGTCTTGGGAGGAAATCAGATGTCTACCTTCTGGCCATTTGCCTGTGGCCCAGAGAATTAATATCAGACAATTTCATTTTAGCAGACTTTTGCAAACTCCACCAAATTGACAGATATGAATTTCTTTTCTTCAGGATTGCCCTTTCTAACCCAATCAAGGGAAGATGCTGAGTCATGGCAGAACCTGAATCGCAGCATTTGCAGAGAGGAGCACAGAGCAGTGGACCTGGACCATACACGAAGTGGACGCCAAGCCTAATCAGAAAGAGTTTGCTCTACTTTCACGACCTTGGGTCTTCAAGAAGTACATCTCCCTGTGTGAAGAGGGCTTTCAATCCCTTGTCATCACCAGAGTTTGGAACCAGTTATATTTCACCTGGCCCCAGAGGTACCTATGTTAATTAAGACAACAGCAGCTGCTAAGCAGCTCACCCATGAAACTTCAGTGGTCTAACTCATTAAAAGTTTCTCACCCAGGTAAAGTCCAAAAGGAATGTTGCCGGTCATTGAGTGACGTTGCTTGAAGTGATACTTTATAAATCAAGATTCCTTCCATTCTATGTCACTTTCAGTTACCACCCACAGTTTCAGAATTCACCTGGGAAGGTAAAAGAACACGAATAATTGCCCAGGGGATGCTTGGATGGGCCAGGCCCAGAAGTGGCGCATGGTAATTTCACTTGCATTCTATTGGCTAGAGAGCAGTCATAATGACCAGACCCAACTGCAAGGGATTCTGGGAGATGTAGTCCGACTGCCCAGGAAGAGGGAGCCAACACAAGGCAGTCTCAGAAGAAGTCACAGGGTCACTTTGGTATAATTTTCCCTAGTAAATTTTTCTGAGGCCACTATGGATATCCTGGACTTCTGTGCAGAAAAAATGTGTAAAAGTACTTCCATAATGCCTTTCCAGAACCTGCCAGTGATGTTATTTAAAATTAATTTGAGAGACCAGGGGAATATATCAGTAAACCATTTTAATTGTGTAGTACTTCAGAACTTTCAAAATGATTTCTCATTCTTTCATTTGATTTTCTTAGTGCTCTTCTCTCAGTGTCTATAAGCTTCAGTCGGGAAATATTAGCTGATTTCCCATTTTGCCAGGCTCTGGTCTGAGCGCTAGGGCTGTAGTGGTGAACAGAAAAAAGACCCCTGCACTCATTTTTCCTGTATCCAAGGAAAAGCAGCTTATATTTGCAAGTTTCAGGGGCTAAGAGTCCCGAAAAACAAAACTAGGATGAAATGACGGAGGATAAGGCCACATGGGGTAAAGTATGTGTTTAAATGTTCTTGGGATTTTGTTTTAATCAGTGTGGCAAGATGACAGACATGGAGACAACTGCCTTGAAAAAAGAGTTTATACTCACAGTTCCCTACAGGAGGGGGATACCATGCCCTGCAGTGCCACATGGGGAAGCACCAGGGTTGGCCAGGAGGCAGTGCAAGCAAGGAGAAAGCATGGGCAAGAGCCATTATTTTAGATTTCACAGGAAAGAATGAGGGGGGCAGACCGGGCAGGCAGTGCAAGTTTAGGATTGGATACTTTGGCTAATTTCAGTGGGCTTTTGACTATAGCAACAGTCCTGAGTTGTCTGGTACCTGGCCCTGGGATGATTTAGGGCAGGAGGAATATTGGCTTGGTGTGTGAGTGAGATAAAGGAAGGTGTTGAGGCGTGGGCTTTGGATTGGTTGGTTTGCATGTGAAAGGCATGCTTAACATGGTGAAACCCCATCACTACTAAAAACACAAAAATTAGCCAGGCATGGTGGCACATGCCTGTAATTCCAGCTACTTGGGAGTCTGAGGCGCGAGACTCACTTGAATCCAGGAGGTGGAGGTTGCAGTGAGCCGAGATCAAGATTGTGCCACTTGCAATCCAGCGTGGGCAACAGAGCAAGACTCCATCTGAAAGAAAGGAAAAGAAAAGAGAAAAGAGGAAAGGAAAGGAATGGAATGGAATGAAAAGGAAAGGAAAAGAAAAGAAAAAAAAAGAAAAGAAAAGAAAAGAAAAGAAAAGAAAAGAAAAGAAAAGAAAAGGAAAGGAAAGGAAAGACAAGAAAAGGGCATTCTTGCAGGCAAGTTGTTTCCTATCCCTAGGAGCCAGCCCTGGAGGGGCAGTTTCTCCAGGATGAGCAAAGCCCCAAGATGTCAAAACATCATAAAGCACAGAAAATAAAAACATGATTAATACAATGCAGCAGTGGGCACATAAATTTAGAATGGAGGGTCAGCAAAGGCTTTCCTGAAGAGTTGATATTGGAGATGAGATCAGAATTACATGAAGATGCCAGCCACACAAAGATCCAGAGGGAGAGCACATCAGGCAAAAGCACAAGGCAAGCACAAGCTTAGGCCAGTCCAAGAGGATGGAAAGGGCCAGCATGGCTGGAGTAGGGAGATAAGGTAGTAGAAGATGAGGCCAGATAGGCAGGACTCTGGAGGCCATGGCAGGACTTTGGATTTCATTAGGACTGCAATAGGAAGCTATTAAAGGGTATTGCACAGAGCAATGTCATCTGATTTGCATTTTTAAAAAGTCACTGACTGGTGAGGAGAACATATTGCATGCGGGCACCAGTGGGAAGCAGTGAGATGAGTCAACCGGGGGGTGCACTAAAGCATGACTTGAGAAGTAAGACATAGCTCCTTCTCCCGCTTTGTCTGCCTAACACTGACACTCTGGCATGCCTGTACTTTGTGTGACTTGGCTCAAATATGACCTTTGTTTGAAACAGATCATTCATTTATCACTTTTTTTTTCATAAATCTAAGTATTCCCATTCTCAAAGTGATCCTCCCACACTTTTCTTACCTGTCATGCACTATTGATGACAAGAAGGACCCCAGCTGAGAACTCTCTATGGATTGTCCAGTATGTGCCCTCAAGTGTTTGGTAACTCTGGGAAATATAAATAAAGTTTATTGGATAATGGTCCTAACCTGTAAAGAACTGAAAAATTCCACTGCAAACCCAAGAAAATATGCATAACTCAAGAGGAAGACAGATTATCCCTAAGATAGAGAGCTCCGTCCTAGATGACTCAGAGCAGGATTCACGAGGAGGTAAGACATAAGCTGATCTCTAAAGAGTTGGAATTGTACTTTTTGAATCTCAGAGCACTGCAGATAGGCAGAAGATCCCAGAGCCTATCACCCACACACACTGCAATCGAAAAAAATTTTTTCATAAAGAATTGAAAGGAGTATAACAGAAAAAAATGCTATTATAAACTGTCAAGTTCCAATTTGATGACTTGCTTATGATTTATTTCATAACAGAAAAATACAAAGGGGTATAACCCATTATAAATGTTAAAAATAATTCAGTGATTTTAAAAGACTTACCTTGATCATAAGGTGCAGGTTATTTAAATAGCACAAATTCACAGGCCCATCAAAGTTGAAGATATATCATACTCAAAAATTGCAGAATGGGGCATTCTATGTATCTATTATGCAATAGGAGAATGGCCAATTCCTATTTATACCATAGTATATACACATTTTAAATTTTAAATTTTGGAAAAGCTTAAGTCAAAAATTACTGTTGACTCAAATACAGATCAGTCACTCTATTTTGAAGAGGTAACCAATCAGTTGAAGCTAAACAAATTGTAATTTATAATCAAACAGCAGCAATTAAAGCCCATGACCAACTCAAGGAAACTCAAATGAGACACCAATAACATATCTGCTTGCAGATAAAGGATGTATCTGTGTGGGCACACACATAGACGCATGTGGTGACCTTAGCAAGACACAGTCTTCTTAGGTGATCATTGAATTACCATCCTGGAATGCTCTATTTATCTTGTGAACATGATTGGTAATTTTCCATAATACATTCTGTGAATTGTCAGTGGATAAGGCCTTTAATGTAAAAAGAAAAGTCTACAGAATTGCCTGTCATTTGCCTAAGAGAACCAATGGATCAATTTGCAACTTGTCAGGAGAAAAAAGTTTCCTGCCCCCAGATGCTAATTCTACTGATATAGTTGGGATATTTGTCCCCACCCAAATCTCATGTGGAACTGTAATCCCTAATACTGGAGGTGGGGCCTGGTGGGTGTTGTTTGGATCATGGCAGCAGATCCCTCATGGCTTGGTGCTGTGTTTGTGGTAGTGAATGAGTTCTTGTGAGATCTGGCCATTTAAAAGTGTATGGCACCCCTAAAACACACACACTCTGTCTCTCTCTTGCTCCTGCTTTCATGTGATATGTCTGCTCCCCCTTCACCTTCTGCCATGATTGTAAGCTTCCTGAGGCCTCCCCAGAAGCTGAACAAATGTTGGCACCAGGCTTCCTGAAAAGCCTGAACAACCATGAGACAATATAATCTCTTTTCTTTATAAATTTCCCAATCTTAGGTATATCTTTATAGAAATACAAGAACAGTCTAACACAGAAAAAATTGGTACCAGGAGTGAGGCATTGCTATAAAGATACCTGAAAATGTGGAAGCAGCTTTGGAAGTGGGTAATGGGCAGAGGTTGAAAGAGTTTGGAAGGCTCAGAAGAAGACAGGAAGATGAGGGAAAGTTTGGAACTTCTTATAGACTAGTTAGCTTGTTGTGACCAAAATGCTGATAGTGATATGGATAGCGAAGTCCAAGCTGAGGAGGTCTCAGATGGAAATGAGGAGTTTATTGAGAAATTGAGTGAATGTCACCCTTGTTATGCCTTATCAAAGAACTTGGCTGCATTCTGTTTATGTCCTAGGGATCTATTATAGATTCTCTTAGGCAAATGACAAGCAATTCTGTAGACTTTTCTTTTTACATTAAAGGCCTTATCCACTGACAATTCACAGAATGTATTATGGAAAATTACCAATCATGTTCACAAGATAAATAGAGCATTCCAGGATGGTAATTCCTAGGGATTAATGTCCTAGGGATCTGTGGAAGGTTGAATTTCAGAGTGATGGCTTAGGGTACCTGGCAGAAGAAATTTCTAAGCAGCAAAGTGTTCAAGAAGTGTTGTGGCTGCTTCTAAAAGCCTATGCTTAGGTGTAGAAGCAAAGGAATAAGTTAAAACACATTTAAAAGAAAAGCAGAGTGTAAAAAAGGTTGCAAAATTTGTGGCCTGGCTATGTAGGAGAGAAAGAAAAAGCTTTTTCAAGAGAGGAATTTAAGCAGGCTGTGTAACAATTACTTGCTAGAGATATTTGCATAACTAAAAGGGAGCCAAGTGCTACTATCCAACACAGTGGAGAAAAGCCCTCAAAGGCATTTCAGAGACTTTTAAGGCAGCCCTTCCCATCACAGGCCCAGAGGTCTAGGAGGGAATTGGTTTTGTAGGCTAGGCCCAGAGCCCCACTGCCCTGCACAATCTCAGGACACTGCCCCCAACATCCTGGCCACTGCAGCTCCAGCCATGGCTCAAAGGTATGCATATATAGCTCAGGCCACTGCTCCAGAGGGCACAAGCTATAAGCCTTGGTGGCTTCCATGTGGTATTAAGCATACAGACATGCAGAGTGCAAGAGTAAACGAGGCTTGGCAGCTTCCACCTAGATTTCAGAGGCTGTATGAGAAAGCCTGGGTACCCAGGAAGAAGCCTGCTGCAGGAGCAGAGCCCCCACGAAGAACCTCTATGAAGGCAGTGCAGAGGAGGAATGTAAGGTTGGAGGCCCCACAGAGAGACCCCACTGGGGCACTGCCTAGTGAAGCTATGAGAAGGGAGCCAGCATCCTCCAGACCCCAGAATTGGTAGAATCCACCAGCAACTTGCACTCTACACCTGGAAAAGCTGCAAGCACTCAACAACCTGAGAGCAGCCACAGGGGCCTTACCCTACAAAGCCACAGAGGCAAAGCTGCCCAGGGCATTGAGAGCCCACCCCTTGCACCAATGTGCCCTGGATGTAGGACATAAAGTCAAAGGAGATTATTTTAGAAGTTTAGGATTTAACAACTGCCCTGTTGGGTTTTGAACTTGCATGGGGCCTCTAGCCCCTTTCTTTTTGTTGATTTCTTCTTTTTGGGATGGGAATGTTTACACAATGCCTATACTTCCATTGCATCTTGGGAGTAAATAACTTGTTTTGATCTTACAGGTACACAGATGGAAGGAACTTATCTGTAGAGGAGACTTTGGGCTTGGGATTTGGAACTTTTTGAGTTAATGCTGGAATGAGTTAAGACTTTAGGGAACTGTTGGGTAAGCATAATTGTATTTTTCAATGTGAGAGGGACATGAGATTTGGCAGGAGCCAGAAGCAGAAGGATATAGTTTGGATATTTGTCCCTACCCAAATCTTATGTAGAATTTTAATCCCTAATGCTGGAGGTGGGGCCTAGTGAGAGATGTTTTGGTCATGGGGGTGGATCCCTCATGGCTTTTTGTTGTCTTCATGATAGTGAGTGAGTTCTTGTGAGACCTGATCATTTAAAAGTGTGTGGCACCTCCCCCCACCACCACTCCCTGCATTCTCTTTCTTGTTTGTTTTCACCATGTGATGTGCCTGCTCCCACTTCGCCTTCTGCCATGATTGTAAGCTTCCTGAGGCCCGCCACCGCCCCCCAGGAAGCTAAGCAGATGTTGGCACCATGCTCCTTGTAAAACCTGCAGAACTGTGAGCCAATTAAACCTCTCTTCTTTATAAATTACCCAGTCTCAGATATTTCTTTACAGCAATGCAAGAAGAGCCTAACACAACTACCAAGGATTAGAAGTTCTTTCTCAGAAGGGTCAAGGGAGAGCATTCTGGTTCTGACCTTGCTTCCTTTATCAATAATCCAAATCAGTCCTTGTGCCAGACCCCCTGCCAGGTTCAGAGTCATGACCAGTGTCCTCCTGCTCTGCTAACACAATTCTGAAGCCCTTGCTCTTGGACAAGCCACACCATTTGGCATCACTTGCTCTTCTTCAGCTGTCCTCCTCAAGGGCTAGAAATGTTTATTGGTTCAGAATAAAATATACGAAAGGTTCCCAAATAAACAAAACCTACAATTCAAATCATGAGACTGTCAGCTATGGAAAACACCAGAGTGCTTAGGGGGAATATACAGCTTAACAACAAAAGTAAGGAAATTGCTTTTGAGCAGCAGTAACCTCAAGCCAGCACACCAGTGAAGGAAAATTGCTTGTGTCTGAAACTGAAGGCAAGTGATATCTGTAAAGCTTCACTAACGAATGGCATCTTTTTACTTTTTATTACAGGTTTTGTTCTTTTCCTTTTTTTATTTTTTATTTTTTTGAGACAGAGTCTCGCTCTGTCGCCCAGGCTGGAGTGCAGTGGTGTGATCTAGGCTCACTGCAAGCTCCTCCTCCCGGGTTCACGCCTTTCTCCTCCCTCAGCCTCCCGAGTAGCTGGGACTACAGGTGTCTGCCACCTCGCCCAGCTACTTTTTTGTATATTTAGTAGAGATGGGGTTTCGCCATGTTAGCCAGGATGGTCTCGATCTCCTGACCTCATGATCCGCCTGCCTCGGCCTCCCAAAGTGATGGGATTACAGGTGTGAGCCACCGCGCCCGGCCTAGGTTTTGTTCTTTTCATTCATGCCTTGCCTTTCCTCTCCCAAAAGCCTTAAGGCAGCCTTCATACAGTAGCTGCATTCCTAAAAGCTCCCTATAAACCTAACTCCAATAGATACATTGATATATGTAAATGCACTGGGATGTCCCATGTGTAAAAGGTGCCTGAGGACAATCCTTCTGCCATGTGGGAGCCATCCTCCTGTCCCCTCTCTGCTCATGCCACTGCAGTTGCCATTGTACTCCACTCTCTCATGACCTGCTTCAAATCAGGCCCAGGATTTGTGTTTGATTAAGACCTGATATGGTTTCGCTATGTGTCCCCATCCAAATCTTATTTCAAGTTGTAATCCCCACAGGTTGAAGGAGGGACCTGGTGGGAGGTGATTGGATTATGGGGGCGGTTTCCTCAATTCTGTTCACGTGATAGTGAGTGAATTCTCATGAGATCTGATGGTTTAAAAGTGTGGCACTTCCCTTTCATTCTGTCTCTTGACATCTTGTGAAGGAGGTACTTGCTTCTCCTTTGCCTTCCACCATGATTGTAAATTCCTGAGGCCTCCCCAGCCATGCAAAACTGTAAGTCAATTAAACCTGTTTCCTTTGTAAATTACCCAGTCTCAGGCAGTTCTTGTTAGCAGTGTAAAAATGGACTAATGCAGGACCCTTAAATAAAGAAGGTAAACAAATTCCAAAGAAGTAGTGAAAACACCTTTGCAAAAATTGTAACTTGAGAAAAATATGACAGTCAAACAGATCTGATCTAACAACCCCTACTTTGCCTTTAACCTCCAAACTGCCCTTAATCATTCCTGGGCTTAGGCCAAACTAGCTTTGGGAGACATTTAGTTTATAGTTTAACTGATAATAGCCCTTCCCCAAAACTAAACCACCTTTATGAAGCTAATGAAAGACCACCAGGTTAGGAAGATGAGGAGGCTGAATTTTGCTAAGGTGTAGATATAAACAATTACCAGCCACTATTCTGGAGGTCACAAGATTTGCAACTCCCCCATGACTCCTGCAGATACTATCACTACTGCAGAACTAAGATTGGCTTTTTGAGTTGTCTGTCCAGGTATTTGCATTTCTGACCAGTGGCTCCACCCAGACCTGCCAAACCTCTGCTGACCAGTCCTTTGGCCACTTCCAGAAGTGGACTCCCTGGCCCACCAAACTATCTTTGAAAAACCATAGCCTCTGAATTTTCTGGGAGATTGATTTGAGTAATTCCTCCATCTCCCACATGGCCTGGCCAGCCTCATGTCTACTAAACTCTTTATTTTAATGCCATGGTCTCAGTGAATTGGTTTTGTCTGTGCAGTAGGCAGGAAGAACCCATCGGGTGGTTACAGTAGCCTCAGGAGGGCCCAGCAGCACAGAGGATCTTGACAAATATTTGTTGCCCTACAAGTCATTCTCTGCCTCCTCTTTTCTTGGAGACATCACAGAGCTATGTGTTTAGACTTTTGCCCAGTATCTGCATCCGCCCTGCATTTCCACACTGAGTGCAAACCAAAAAGAATTACTTTTAATTGAGAAACCATTATTTGCTAGGCACATTCATGGTCTGTTTACTTTCTTATTTTATCCCTCAAATAAGCTCATGATGCAGACACTATTTTATTTCCCATGGAAATACACACAAAGGCATTAGGGAACTAACTGAAAGTCTGCAGCTAGTGCCAAGGGACAGGACTCAACTCATGTCCATCTCTGCGTGGCAGATTCTATCTATGACAGTCCAGCTGCCTAATTGGCTCCAACCCACCATTGACCTTGTCCTTACCCCTCTCTGTCCTGAACTTGGCTTGCCTCCCTCATTCTGGCTCAGAGCCTTGACTGGTCCACCCCTTCCAGGATTCTCTCCCTAAACCTATAGCATGTTTTTGCCTTATTAAGAGAAAAATGTTGAACAAATTCATACCTAAATCTAAAGTTATCTTATGAAAGATGGGATATCTGGCCATGGTGTAGTTGTATTCCACACAGTGGGTGCTGGGAGCCTGGAGGACAGAGAAGGACAATCATTGCAGCAAGCAATGAGTGCCTTTTGATGGATTCCTCGATTCCTTGAGATGTAATGTGCTCCACGTCCACAGTAGTCTTCCTGAAAGCCCACAAATCTCATGGACAAGGATGTTCCTGGACAATATCTATGAGAGAGCCAAATTTCAACCCTTGAATATAGAGGTTTTATTTTCAGGAAATCTGTGAAAAGTCAGTGATGTAAGAAGCCCAGAGTAGCAGTACCAAGTTTCAGGACCACAGATAAAAACTACAGGGCTGATTTATAACACCTCTATCTCTTTAGATATGTGGTAAACCAGTAACGACAAATTGGATAAACTGGTCGCTATTTTATGCCTTCTCAATTACTCAGGACTAATTTTTAAATTGCATTTAAAAACTGACCTACTGACAGCATCAAGAAAATTCAGGAATTTGAGTCTTGTTGGCACTTGCATTACCAGAGTAACTATTTCATCTAAATGTTTTGCTTTACCAAACGTAGAGTCATACTTACAATATGTCCTCAGGATTCTTAGAGGTCTTCTAACCCAAATCCCTCATTTTTAGAGACTAGGAAATTAAATTTTAGACAACCCACCAAAGGAAGTAAAAATCACTGTTAGTTGTTATTTAGAATCATCATTCTTTGTCTTATGCTCTCCTGCACAGCCTCCTTTCTGACCCTGAGACCCAGGAGAAGAAGGAGGCAGGGAGATCATCTTACTGCTACATTTTCATGGAAGCCCCTCCTTGAACCTGTGAGTAGTGGTCTGTAAAGCACGTGTCATAATCTGCCTGGAAGGCTTACTACCTCTTCTATCTTCAAGGCAAAGAAAATGACATCTCACACCAAGCTAGCTGGAACTTTTGCCCCCATTTTCAAGGAAGAACAACACAAAAAGTTATATGTGTCATAAGGTTTAGTACATTCTGAATTTTTGTCAAGTATGAAAGGATAATTGAAAGTCCTGAAGTTTGCATTTTAAGAAGCTTTTGGGCCAGGTGTGGTGGCTCAGGCCTGTAATCCCAGCACTTTGGGAGGCCAAGGCGGGCGGATCATGAGGTCAGGAGTTTGAGACCAGCCCAGCCAACACGGTGAAATCCCAACTCTACTAAAGATACAAAAAATTAGCCGGGCATGGTGGCACATGCCTGTAATCGCAGCTACTCGGGAGGCTGAGGCAGGAGAATCACTTGAACCCAGTAGGTGGATGTTGCAGTGAGCTGAGATCACGCTACTGCACTGCAGCCTGGGTGACAGGGCGAGGCTGTATCTCAAAAAAGAAGCTTTTGGAATCAATACGCAGGAAGAATCAAACAATACTTCACTGCCAACACAGTGCAGCATACATATTACCAAAATTAAATTTGCACAATTAGTTGTTTAAACAACTAAACTTAGAAGAAATATTATATATTTTACTCTTTTTGTCTATAACCTCTGCTGTGCTACTTTAAACAAGAATATTTTGACTGGCCAATACCATACTTCCTAAGTTTTACTCTTGTTTGTTTGGATCACAAGAGGGGTGATTTCTCAATTTCTAAAAGAAGCAGCTCTTGTTTGTTATTTTTAAAAACACAGCCAGAACCAGGCACGTGGCTCACATCTGTAATCCCAACATTTTGGGTGGCTGAAGTGGGAGGATCTCTTGAGCCCAGGAGTTCAAGATCAATCTGGGCAACACAGTGAGACCCTGTCTCTACAAAACAAACAAACAAAAAATTTTAATTAGACAAGTATGGTTGTGCATGCCTGTGGTCCCACCTATTCAAGAGACTAAGGTGGGAGGATCTGTTGAGCCCAGGAGTTCAAAGCTGCAGTGAGCTGTGATTGTCCCACTGCACTCCAGCCTGGGTGACAGAAAGAGACCCTGTCCCAGACAAACAAAGAGAAAAATAGCCAGGTGCTCACCTCCTTGGAGGAGATTTTCATGAACCCCTCAGTGTTGTGCTGTTTTAGAGCTCATAATGTTGTATTTTAACTGTGAATGAGCATCTCTTCTCCACTTATCCTTGGATGTTCTTACAGCCAGGGGCCATTCTCACATCTTTTAGTATCTCCAGTGCCTACCACAGTGTCTCGTACTTATTAGATGCTCAAACCTCTGTCGAATGCATGGAAGCCTCTGTTGAATGCATGTCCTGCCCCCAATGCCAGAATGCACAGCTTATCATTAAGGATATGAAAAAAAAATGAGTGAAAATAAACCTCTAGGGATTTACAAAATGATTTATTTCCTGGGTCTTCTGTTTAGAAAATTAATTTACTTGTTCAGACTCACAAACTGACATAAATGTTCTATGGAGCCGTTCACTAAAGGGTGCTCATGCAGCTACTACCATGCAATGGAATTGCCTGAGTTTACTAAGGGACAGTTTCTAATATAACACTTTTACAATGCTGAAAATCCTTCAGTAACAAATATTTTAAAACTCTGCTAAATTAATCCATGTTTGAATGACATCAGACTTCAGCAGACCAATGCCTTCTATATAGTTACTACCCATTGTTAAGTCATTTCATTTATATTTTAGAAAAGAAGTACCCCCTTTAAGAGATCAGTTTTACTTAAAGTGACTAAGACTCTCAAAAGGATGATTCTTAATCACATAATCTTTCTTAGAGAAAACAAAAATTCATCTTATACTCCCCCTGCACAGCCTCCTTCCTAACTCTGAGACCCAGGGGACAAGGGAAGCAAGGAAGATCATCTCTTACCATTACATTTTCCATGGAAGCCTCCCCTTGAATCTGTGAGTGGTGGTCTGTAAAGCAGGTGTCATAATCTGCCCGGTGGGCTTACTACCGAGTGTCCCTCCCCCAGCTCTGTTGTGTTAAGATTTGACCTAGATGTTCAAGGTCTTGAGGTTGTACTTATCTTTTTGAGCAGCAGGAGAATGGTTAAACAATGGGCTTCTTCATTAGTACCCTTTCCTGAACGTAAACTATGTATGGCTACAATTCTTATCCTGGGAGCAGCCCATATGGAGGCCCCAAGAGCACTAAGACTACACTATGGCAGATGCTTTGATACAAATATTTATTTTCTTATTCCAAAGCCTGATTCTCTAACCTAAACAATATCTTTATTATTTTTCTCTGTATTTGTAATCCATATTATTAGAACAACGAAGCCATCAGTGTTCATGTATAGGTTAAAATGTCCTTAGATTGCCACAGGCATAAAGGGAATGGAACCATGTATTAGTCCGTTTTCATGCTGCTGATAAAGACATACTGGAGACTGGGTAATTTGGGTGGAGACACAGCCAAACCATATCAAACCAGTTTACATGTTCAAGTACAGACACTTCAGTATTGACTTAACCAAAGGCCAGAGAGGTCTGTGAACCTTGTAGCTGGCTACCACTGATTCTGAGAATCACAGATGCAGAGCCCTCCCCACCGATACCTTGTCACCACGTGCCTTTAGAACTTAGATGCTACCCTAGGGAAATGGGGAAGGAAGAACCCCAGATTCATATGAAATTTCTTTTTTTTTTTTTTTTGAGATGGAGTCTCGCTTTGTCGCCCAGGCTGGAGTGCAGTGGCACAATCTCAGCTCACTGCAACCTCCACTGCCCGGGTTCTAGTGATTCTCCTGCCTCGGCCTCCCGAGTAGCTGGGGTTATAGGCACCGGCCACTACACCCAGCTAATTTTTGTATTTTTAGTAAAGACAGGGTTTCACCATGTTACCCAGGCTGGTCTCAAACTCCTGACCTCAAGTGACCTGCCTGCCCTGGCCTCCCAAAGTGCTGGGATTACAGGCATGAGCCACCGTGCCCCACCCCCAATATGAAATTTCTATCACCCCAACAGATAGAAATGGTGCTTCAAATTAGATGTTAAATTTTGGAAATATAAGTTGCATTTTCTAGACACCTAATTTGTGAATAGAAATTTGAATCCAATACATGAGATTTATCTAGAATCTCTAGAAATCCTAATACAGTCATAAATTGTTTAAAGCCCTACAAATAGAACCAAGGCAACTGGAGGCAGTGACTATGACCCCCGGAAGGAATAGTGAGTTAGACCCTCAGGCATCATGGACGACTTGCAAAATCATGAACTGTAACGAAGCTGCAATTGAACAAATATGACAAAATGTTTTAAATATCCTGGGTGGATGCAGATTGAGCATTAGAAAAAGAGGAAAGGAGGCCGGGCACGGTGGCTCATGCCTGTAATGCTAGCACTTTGGGAGGCCAAAGCGGGTGGATCATGAGGTCAGGAGATTGAGACCGTCCTGGCTGACACAGTGAAACTCCATCTCTACTAAAAATACAAAAAATTAGCCGGGTGTGGTGGCGGTCGCCTGTAGTTCCTGCTACTCAGGAGGCTGAGGCAGGAGAATCGCGAATCGCTTGAATCCAGGAGGCAGAGCTTGCAGTGAGCTGAGATCACGCTCCCGCACTCCAGCCTGGGCAACAGAGCGAGACTCGCTTCAAAAAAAAAAAGAAGAAGAAGAAGAAGAAGAAAGAATGTAGCCTTGCTGAAGCTTCCTGATAGATTAAATTCTTTGAGTACCAGAAGAACACTTCAAAAAAGAAAAGTGTATAAAACGAGATATACAACTTCTACCCTGGTCTCAGACCTCCTCCAAGTACTGCAAAGTCAAGAGTAACTCCTGCACCACCAGCTCCAGCCACTAAGGCACTGAAATCCCAACTTCCAGCAAATGATACACCCATTCAACTGCCATTTATATTTAAGGCCTGGGAACACACAAAGAGGTTGTGCTTGGAGAAGGCTGCACGCCCTCCCAGTCAGAAAGCACTGCCCAACTGCAGAGGGAGAAGGTTTCTGGGAGAGCTCCTGAGGCCCTATAGTTGTGTTGTGATTGTGGTTGTTCTGCTTTACCTGTAAGAAAAGCAAACATCAAGGTATTTGTGCACACAGCTGCTAGTGGAAGCTAGGGTGCCCTTCTTGGGAGTTGGGATGTCTCAGAAAGCCAGTGGGAGCCAAGGAAAGTATCCATTGGTCCTGGGAGAGGCTGGTCTCTCTCCCCCTCACTTCAAGGCAGTCAAGACATAGAGACTGGACGTGAATCTGAATGAGAGGCCACGGCTGGAGAGTCACATTGGGGAACCAGCTCACATTACCTAATGCCTGTAAATAAGAAAGAGTGTCTCATCCCTCAGGTATATGTACAGATTGCAGGCTTATGTCAGCCCAAAGCAAGCTCTGCTTCCATCCTTTCCCATGGCTGTGTGGGTGATAAGCACCTCGAAGAATGCAGTCTGGGAGTCAGAAGCAGGTCCCATCCTGGTAGGTTTAGGGGAGGATGGAAAGTAAATTTTCTTTGAAGGCATGTAATAACTTATAAGGGCTAAACAGTATTTTTTAATATTTCCCCCATTTTGTAGCATTACTTGGGCCTTCTCCAATTGTCAGATAGGCCATTTTGCATTCATTACCACTGAAGCAAAGACTAACAGAAGGGAAAAAAGGCAAAGACAACCAAGTCTTATATTTTAAATGGCATAAGCCAGGGACTCACAGGAACTAAAAAGACTTCTGCAAAGAAAATTGATCTGGCAGAAAAATACGGATTAAGTGAAAAGTTTCCTGTCCCTGACACGTGTCTGGGAGAGAAGGACAGTCTGGGGAGGGAACAAGAGCTTAGGTTTGGCAGAGCTCAGATCCTTGGGTTTGGGGAAATGCGGGACACAAAATGGAAACTCAGAACGGACAGGAGAGTCCGCACCTGGGAGGAACCTGCTCCCCTTGCCTCAGTGAATCACAGGAGGCAGCAAGCAGCAGAGCTCCTGGGCAGTGCTCTCACGTGTAACTGGGTAGATGGAACCACGGAATCCAGAGCCTGTGTGATGGCTAATTTCATGTATCAACTTGGCCAGGCTATGGTGTCCAGTTGCTTGGCCAAACACTGTTCTACATGTTGTGACGATATTTTGTAGATGTGATTAAAATGCACAGTCAATTGACTTTAAGTAGAGAAAATGACCTTCCATTCTATGAGTGGGCCTCATCCAACCAGCTGAAGGCCTTAAGAGCAAAAACTGAAAATTCCTGGAAACGAAGAAATTCTGCCTGAAGACTGCAACATAGAAGTCCTGCCTGGTTTCCAGCCTGCCAGTTTTCCCTGTGGAGTTCTGACTCAAGACCGCAGCATCTGCTCTTGCTGGAGTTTCCAGTCTGCTGGGCTGCCCTACGGAGGGCAGACTTGCCATCCCTGCAATTGCAGGAACCTACTGCTTAATTGCTCAGGAATAATACATTTTTACATTTATCTATGCCAATATTTTAGAACAAAGCAATTATTTTAAATCCACGGCCCCACACACACATACACACACACACACACACACACACACACACACACAGAGGGTTACATAGCACATAAAGACATTTCTGTCCATGATGAACCATGTATACAAGAGTGGTACCATAAGATTATAATGAAGCTGAAAAATTCCTGTCACCTAGTGATGCCATAATCATTATAAAGTCATAACCCCAGCTCATTACTCACATGTCTGTGGTGATGCAGGTGTAAACAAACCCTACTGCACTGCCAATTACATAAAAGTACCTCTAGCACATAGAATTATGCAGTACCTAGTACTTGATAGTTACAATAAATATGTTGCTGGTTTATATATTTACTGTACTTTTATCACTATTTTAGAGTGTACTCCTACTTACAAAAAAAAAAAAATGTAACTGGAAAACAGGCTCGGCAGGTCCTTCAGGAGGGATCCCAGAAAAAGCACTGGTGTCATAGGAGAGGACAGCCCCATGCATGTTATTGTCCCTGAAGACCTTCCCATGGGACAAGATAAAGGGGCGGAAAACAGTGACATTGATGATCCTAACCATGTGTAGGCCCAGGTTATGTGTGCATTTTTGTCTTCATTTTTAACAACAACAAAAAAAGTTTAAAAAGTTAAAAAAAAAAAGATAAAATTTTAAAAATAGAAGCTTATGGAATAAGGGTATAAAGAAAACACTTTTGTACGGCTGTACAATGTATTGTAAGCTACGTGATATTATTACAAGAGAGTTAAAAAGTTACAGTAAGCTACGATTAATTTATAATATTTTTCTATACATTTAGTGTAGCCTGGCTGGGTGCAATGGCTCACGCCTGTAATACCAGCACTTTGGGAGGCCAAGGTGGGTGGATCACAAGGTCAGTAGTTCAAGACTAGCCTGGCCAATATGGTGAAACCCCATCTCTACTAAAAATAAAAAATAAAAAAAATTAGCCAGGTGTGGTGGTGGGCACGTGTAATCCAAGCTACTCAGGAGGCTGAGGCAGAAGAATCACTTGAACCCGGGAGGCGGAGGTTGCTGTGAGCTGAGACTGTGCCATTACACTCTAGCTGTGTCTCAAAAAAAGAAATGTAGTGTAGCCTAAGTGTACAGTATTTATAAAGTCTACAGTGGTTTACAGTAATGTCTAGGCCTTCACATCCACTCAGCACTCATTCACTGACTCACCTAGAGCAACTTCCAGCCCTGCAAGCTCCACTTGTGGTAAATGCCCTATAAAAGTGTACCATTTTTATCTTTTATACTATGTTTTTACTGTACCTTCACTATGGAAGTATATGCTTAGATACACAAATACTTACCATTGTGTTACCATGACCTTACTTACTAGCACATTCCTCAGAACGTACCCCTGGCATTAAGCAATACATGACTGTATATCTAAAGTGTAAAACTAATTAAGCTTTATTTCGTATTAGTCCATTCTCACATAGCTATAAAGAAATACTGAGACTGGGTAGTTTATAAAGAAAGACGTTTAATTGGCTCACGGTTCTGCAGGCCGTTCAGGAAACACAGTGGCTTCTGTTTCTGAGGAGGCCTCAGGAAACTTACAGTCATGGTGGAAGGTGAAAGAGAAGCAGGGATGTCTTAAATGGCCAGAGCAGGAAGAAGAGAGAGAGAGGGAGGTGCCACACACTTTCAAACAACAAGATTTCATGAGAGCCCTATCACAAGACAGCACCAAAAGGATGGTGCTAAACCATTCATGAAGGATCCACCCCATCATCCAATCACCTCCCACCAGGCCTCACCTCCAATACTGGGGATTACAATTCAACATAAGCTTTTGGTGGGGACACAGATTCAAACCATATCAATGTCAATAAACATCATATTGGTTATATTTCACTGGAGAACCCTGACTTCTGATGCATCCCTCGTGGTGCAGGAAATGTAGACCAATACTCAACCCTGAGAGATTAGCACAGAAATGATGAGAAACCTTAAAAACCCCATAGAATTGGATGTGTTGAGAACAACATAATTTCCCCATGTTCTAGAGAGGGTCAGAGGCAGCAGAAGACTCTGGCTTGGGAAAGACATTGAGAGAGGCAGTGAGGACTGATCCTCAGCAATGTGCCTAGAGTGATGACAGGGAAGAGCAACCCTAGTCAATGCTTGCCCCCAGAAATTGGTAGTAATCTTGAGGAAAGGAAGAAAGGGAAACCAAAAATTATTGAGACTGGTAGAATGAGGGCCTGAATACAAATTAAGTTCAGATATTTTTAAAATTTGTGATCTGAGATTCACATTTACTGTAAAAGTCTATAATTTAATTATACTTCACAATGTAAGTAAAACCTAATTCCCTATACACAAATGTATTTGTTGCCAATGATAGCAACAAGCACTAATTTTACACATGTCCTTAATATTGATATGTAAATGACCTCAATCACAAATCCCTCAAAAGAAAAAAAAGAATCCCTGCCCACCAATATCTTTGCTCCCCATCCAGGCATTGTCATATTTGTTACCTTAATTCTGGCTTCTCATTCTCTAGGCAGTTTGGCCTGGATTCTTGACATTTCATCGTTCAGTCTTTTAGTTGATGTTGCTATTTGGTATCCTACACTCTGAAACCAGTGTTCCCTGATCGACCGTGCCTGATTTATTGCCCTGCCTTGGCTGAAACTCTTTTGATGTGGTTTGGCTGTGTCCCCACCCAAAATCTCATCCTGAATTGTAATCTCCATAATCCCCATAATCCCCATGCATCAAGAGCAGGCCCAGGTGGAGGTAACTGGATCATGGTGGCAGTTTCGCCCATGCTGTTCTCATGATAGTGAGTTCTCATGAGATATGATGGTTTTATAAGGGGCTCTTCCCCCTTCACTCAGCACTCCTCCTTCCTGCCACCTTGTGAAGAAGGTGCCCTGATTCCCCTTCGCCTTCTGCCATGATTGTAAGTTTCCTGAGGCCTCCCCAGCCATGCTGAACTGTGAGTCAATTAAGCCTCTTTTCTTTAAAAATTACCCAGTCTCAGGCAGTTCTTTATAGCAGTATGAACATAGACTGATATGTCCTTGAACTTTATTTTTGGACAATTGGACTTATAGCCTCTACCAGCCCAAACTCATGCCCATCCCTCAACCCAGCCCAGATCCCTGCCACAAGATGATCTGTAGGACTCAGACAAAGAAGAACTCTATGAAGCCACCAGCCTCACCCCAGCCCCCCAAAAATAGACATATAAAGAGGACAAGGCAAAAAGACCCTAAAGAATAGAAGGTAAAACTGTGAAGCATGAGATAGTTCCACATTTCACACCAAACTAGATGAACATATCATGGTTGCCAAGGCACAAACACATATTTATTCAGAGCTGGCAACATAAGTAATTTTCAGTTTCAAAGCAATGAAAAGAGTTGATATGAATAATACATTTTTATCTATGCCAATATTTTAAAACAAAGCAGCAATATCTTAAAACAAAGTAGCAATATCTTATTTGTGCAAATCTATCTGTTTTACATTATGTTCTAGTATGAGTGTTTTAGTAGAAATTCCATTTGAAGTGTGAAATTGTTTATGCTACTGATACAAATTCAAAACAATCCACCATCTCCAGATTTACCATTGTAATGGATTTTTAAACATGTTTATTATTATGGAATTACTGCGGAAAAGAGAGCCCGCAGATGTAGTACAAGTGTGGTTCTCTTCACATTCCCCAAAGATATTTCTCTTTCAGAGATTCAAAATCCGTGAACAGTAGAGACACCCTAAGGAGATATATGTTCAGCCATAGTAAAGAGGGAACTGTAGCTGAAAGCTAAAATGTAGGAAATGTAGACCAATATCTTTGCTTCACCTCTGCTGGCTTCAAAAGTTTCCAGAATAACAATTCAAATGAAAAGGAAATATATTGGTAGCTTGAACACAAGAAAAATAATTTAGACTCCTAAGCTGTTGATTCCAGTGGTATTTCCAAATCACTACCAGCATTGTAAAACATTAAATGTTGCAAGTCATGTCATGTCTAGATGTCGTAGTGAGACCTATTCTGGCCAGTTGCTGGAGCTCGCCATCTTGCCATAATGGTGAAGTTTTATACGTCCAGTGGTCCAGAGTGCATCAACATATCCTTTCACAGAACAGGGAGGCTGGGCTCTTTTATGTGCCTGAAAGATACTGCAGCCATGGTATGGAGTAACAGCCAGACTACGCCTCATACAACTGCCTGCCCCAGCAGCTCCCTGCTAAACAGGACCTGCCTTCTTCTGCATCAGGTCCACAATGCAGCCGCCATGCCCTCTAATATGCATTTTAGCTGCAGCCGAGGTTCCTCTGAGAACCCAACCCGCAGGGGCTGGTGACCCCCTCTTTGACTCCCACAGCAGTGGCTGCTGCCACCACTGCCGCTGCCACCACTGCCGCTGCGGCCCCTGACACTCCAGGACAGGGAGGGGGTGAAGAAACCGGGCACCTTAACATGCCCCTAACAGCAAAATCCGGTGCTGCTCCAGTAGGAGGGAAGTGTCAGCAAGCCACATGCCCCAAGCTCCCATCCTCCATTGCTCCAGCTGAAGGGGCCTGCCTTCTCCAGTGAAAAGCCCGCAGCTCAGCTACGCTGCTCCCCACGCAGCCATTCCAGCTGCCGCTCAGAGCCCTTTTGAGATCCCAGCCCCACAGGCCTATGATCTGCCTTGGGGCTCCCATTGCCTGAGCATCAGCCACTGCCTGTGCATTCTGCCTGCCCCTGCCTGAGAGTTTTGCTGATGACCTCCAGACCAGCCCACCCCCTAACGACCAGCACCTGAATTCTGGGGACCTGAGAATAAGCCCACTGGCCCAGTCTCGGTCCCAGTTCAGTCCCTCAGGACTCATACATACCATCCAGTGGGCCATCTAGGGGCCTGGGGGTTGGGGGTTTACCTAGCCCCATCTACTAATGTGGGCATCTGACCACTCCCCACCAGGGTCTGAGTTCAGACCAACCCCATCAGCCAACACCACCACAGCTGACACTCATTTGAACATGCTGAAAAGTGGAGCCCCTCCCCATCTCTACACAAAGCAGCAGCATTACACATTGGAGAACAGGCAGGCCACAAAGCCACAAAGCTGTCTATAGCAGGCTGAGTGAGGAGCTTCCACCCCGAAACGACTCCTACAAAGAACCACAAGACAGACATCTTTCATGGCTGTCAGCTACACTGTGGCCTAGAGAAAGACAAGAGTGCAGGTCTGAACTGAGAGTCGTGAGCCCCAGGACAGAATGTGACAGGGCAACAGATCTCATTCCTGCCTATCTAGGACATGGAGCCAGTGCGTCCCTCCTCACCCCTTGCAGAGACCTTTGTGTGTTCCACTGGAGCTCCCCCAAACACTCCCATCAGAGCTGGTGCCCACGCTCATCATTGAGGTATTTGTGGGCAAGCCAGATGGTCAAGATGTGCCCAGCTATGTCCCACTCTCACACCACCACTGAACAGGAAGTTCAGGGCACTGGAAATTCCAGGGTCCAACCCTGGAATTTGAAAGAACAGAGAGCATCTCACAGTAAACAGAGATCAAGTACGTGCCCATCTGCTATTGCCACAGCTGGCTTTTACATTGAAGCACATCAGCTGGCTCTTACCTTGAAGCACATCCTATTGGCCTGTACCTCAAGCTGCAGAACCCAATGGAAAACATGACAACAGAAGTTCACAGGGTGATAAAGGCAAAGCCAAAAGACTGTACTCAACATTCTGTAATAGTTACATCCTTGGGGTAGGGGGACATCCCACCCAAACAAAAGTAAATTCAAAAATAAGCAGTGGCAGCTTCTATAGATGAGAAGGAACCAGCACAAGAACTCCAGTACCATGAAGAAACAGAATGTCGAGACCACCCCAAAGGACCACACTGTCTCTGTAGCAATGAATCATAACCAAAATGAAATTTTGAAATGACAGATAAATAATTCAAAATATGAATTGTAAGGAAGGTCAATGAGATCCAAGAGAAAGCTGAAAATCAACACAAAGAAACCAGAAAAACAGTTCAGGAAATGAAAGATGAGGGAAACGTTGAAACAATGACAGCAAACAAGTAAACAGAATGTATTAATCAGGGTTCTTGAGAGGGACAGAACTAACTGGATATATATATATATATATATATATATATATATATATATATATATATATATATATATATATAAAGGGGAGTTTACTAAGTATTAACTCACATGATCACAAGGCCCCACAATAGACCATCTGCAAGCTGAGGAGCAAGGAGAGCCAGTCCGAGTTCCAAAACTGAAGAACTTGGAGTCTGAGGATCGAGGGCAAGAAGTATCCAGCATAGGAGAAAGATGTAGGATGGGAAGCTAGGCGATCAAGTCTTTTTCATGTTTTTCTGCCTGCTTTATATTCTAGCCGCTCTGGTAGCTGATTAGATGGTGCCCACCCAGATTAAGGGTAGGTCCACCTTTCCCAGCCCACTGACTCAAATGTTAATCTCTTTTGGCAACACTCTCACAGATACACCCAGGATCAATGCTTTGCATCATTCAGTCCAATCATCCATCACACAGAACTTCTGAAAATGAGAAATTCACTGAAGAAATTTTAAAACACAGTTAGTAGCTACAACAATAGACTAGACCAAGCAGAAAAAAGAATTTCAGAACTTGAAGAATTTCAGAGCTTGAAGACTGGTCCTTTAAATTAACCCAGTCAGATAAAAATACAAAGGAAATTTTTTAAATGAACAAAAACTTCAATAGATATAGGATTACGTAAGGCAACCAAACCTACAACTTATTGGCATTCCTGAGAGAGAAGAAGAAAAAGTAGGAAGCCTGGAAAATATATTTGAGGAAATAATTCAGGAAAATTTTCCTGATTTTGATAGAGACATAGACATACAAATGCAAGAAATTCAGAAAACACCTGAAAGATGCCATATAAATGAACATCACCAAGGCATATAGTTACCAGACTATACAGGGTCAATGTGAAAAAATAAATGTTAAAAGCAGCTAAAGAGAAGTGTCAAATCACCAATAAAAGAAATCCCATCTGACAAACAAGAGGCTTATCAGGTGAAACTTTATAAGCCAAAAGAGATTGGGGACCTATTTTTAGCCTCCTTAAAGAAAAAATATGCCAGTCAAGAATTTTGTATGCTGCCAAACTAAGCTTCATAAATAAAGAAGAAATAAAGTATTTCCTAGACAAGCAAGTCCTAAGGGAACTCATCACCACTAGACTGGCCCTACAAGAAATGCTCAGAGGAATTCTAAAAATGGAAATGAACAGATATTACTCACCATCATAAAAGCACGTTTAACTAGAAAGCTCAAAGATCCTATAAAGCAATTAGACAATTGAGACTTTAAGGCAACTAACTAATAAAACTATGACAGAAACAAAACCTCACATATCAATATTAACCTTGAACATAAATGGCCTAAATGCTCCAATTAAAAAATATAGACTGAAAAATTGGATTTAGAAAAACAAGAGACAACCCTCTACTGCCTACAAGAGACCTACCTAATGGCTAGAGACACCTACAATCTCAAAGTAAAGGGGTGAAAAAAGACATATGCAAATGCAAAACATAATAAAGCAGTCATAGCCTTTCTTATATCAGATATAACAGACTTTAAACCAACAACAGTAAAAAAAAAAAAGGCGAAGGCCATTATGTAATAATGAAGGGTTTTGTACAAGTTTTAACTATCCTAAATATATACATACCAATATTAGAGCACCTAGATTCATAAAACAAATACTACCAGACCTGAGAAAAGAGATTGACAGCAATATAACAATAGTGGGGGAGTTCAACACCTCCACAGCAGTACTAAACAGGTCTTCAAGGCAGAAAGTCAAATGAACTCTGGACTTAAACTGGACTATATATCAAAAAGATTGAATAGACATTTACAGAACATTCTACCCAACAACTGCAGAATATACATTTTTCTCATCTGTACATGGAACATTCTCTAAAATTGACCATATTCTTGGCCATAAAGCAAGCCTCAATAAACTAAAAAAAAATTGAAATCATACTGTCTTCTCAGACCTCTGTGGAATAAAGTTAGAAAGCAATACCCAGAGAAACTCTCAAAACTACACAGGTAAGGGGATCCTAATCAACTTGCTCCTGAATGATTTTTGGGTACACAATGAAATTAAAGCAGAAATAAAAAAATTTTTGAAATGAATGAAAATAGAGACACAACATACCAAGACCTCTGGGATACAGCAAAAGCAGTGCTAAGAGGAAAGTTTATAGCATTAAATGGCTACATCAAAAAGATAGAACTCAAATTAACAAACTAATGTCACAACTTAAGGAACCAGAAAGACAAGAAGAAATCAAACCCAAAGCTAGCAGAAAAAAAGAAATAGCAAAGATCAGAGCAGAACTAAATAAGATGAAACTCAAAAAAATGATAAAATGAAACAAAAAGCTGGTTATTTGAAAGGATAAACAAAGTTGGCTAGTTTAACCAAAAAAAAAAAAAAATCAGAAGATTCAAGTAAGCACAATCAGAAAATGATAAATGACAACTGATATCACAAAAATACAAAAGATAATCAGAGATTATTATGAATGGCTCTATGCACACAAACTAGAAAACCTTCGGGAAATGAATAAATTCCTGGAAACATACAACCTCCCAAGATTGAACCAGGAAGAAACAGAAATTCTGAACAGACCAATAATGACTAATGAAATTGAATCAGTAATTAAAAATCTTGCAACAAAAAAATCCCAGGACCAGATAGATTCATGGCTGAATCTCACCAGATGTATGAGGAACAGTCGATACCAATATTACTGAAAGTATTCCAAAATATTGAGAAGAGGGATTCCTCCCTAACTCATTCTATTAAACCAGTATCACCCTGATACCAAAATCAGGCAAAGACACAACAAGTAAAGAAAACTACAGACCAGTATCTCTGATGAACACAGATGCAAAAATCCTCAACGAAATACTAGCAAACCAAATCAGAGAGCACATCAAACAGATAATTCAACACAATCAAGTGGGTTTTATTCTAGAGATGCAAGGATGGTTCAACATTTGCAAATCAACAAACGTGATCCACCACATAAACAGAATTTAAAAAAAATGATATGACATCTCAATAGTTGCAGAGAAAACATTTTATAAAATTCAACATTCCTTCATGATAAAGACCCTCAACAAACTAAGCTTTGAAGGAACATACCTCAAAATAATAAAAGCCATCTATGACAAGCCATCTATGGATTTGGTTTGCTAGTATTTTGTTGAGGATTTTTGCATCTATGTTCATCAGGGATACTGGTCTGTAGTTTTCTTTATTTGTTGTGCCTTTGCCTGAATTTGGTATCAGGGTGATACTGGTTTAATAGAATTAGCCAATATCATACTGAAAAAGGAATAGTTGAACAGGAAAAAGTTGAAAGTAATCCCCTAAGAACTGGAACAAGACAAGGATGTTCATTCTCATCATTCCTATTCAACATAGGACTGGCAATCCTAGCTAGAGCAATTAGGCAAGAGAAAGAAATAAAAAGCATCCAAATTAAAAAAGAAGTCAAATTATCTCTGTTTGCTGATGACATGATCTTATACCTAGAAAACCCAAAAGACTCCTAGACCTGATAAACAACTTCAGTAAAGTTTCAGGATGTAAAACCAACATACAATAATCAGTAGCATTTTTATACACCAACAACATTCAAACTTAGAACCAAATCAGGAACTCAATCCCATGTCCATTAGCCACAGAAAAAAATAACATACGTAGGAATACAATTAGCCAAGGAGGTGAAATAACTCTATAAGGAGAATTACGAAACACTAATGAAAGAAATTATAGATGACACAAACAAATGGAAAAAAATTTTATGCTCATGGATTGGAAGAATTAATACCATTAAAATGAGCATACTTCCCAAAGCAATTTATAGATTCGATTCAACACCAATGAAATTACCAACATCATTGTTCACAGAATTAGAAAAAAAAATCCTAAAGTTCATATGGAACCAAAAAAGAGCCCAAATAACCAAAGCAATTCTAAGCAAAAAGAACAAAGCTGGAGGCATCACATTACCTGACTTCAAATTATACTACAAGGCTATAGTGACTAAAACAACATAGTACTAGTACAAAAATAGACACATAGAATAATGCGAACAGAATAGAGAACACAGAAATCAAGCCACATACCTTCAATGAACTGATTTTTGACAAAGCTGACAAAAAGAAACAGTGGGGATAGGACACCCTATTCAATAAATGGTCCTGGGAAAATTGGCTAACCATATGCAGAAGAATGAAGCTGGACCCCTATCACCATATACAAAAATTAACTCAAGATGAATTAAAGACTTAATACCTGAAACTGATTCTAGAAGAAAGGCTAGAAAAAACTCTCCTAGACATTGACTTCAGCCAAGAATTTATGACTAACACCCCCAAAGCAAATCCAACAAAAACACAAATTAATATCTGGGACCCAATTAAACCAAAGAGCTTCTGCACAGTGAAAGAGGTAATAATCAACAGAACAAACAGACAACCTACAAAATGGAAGAAAACATGTGCATATTATGTCTCTGACACAGGACTAATAGCCAGAATCTATAAGGAACTCAAAACAACTCAGTAAGAAACAAACAGCACCTTTAAAAAGTGAGCAAAGATCAATGTCAAGAAGAGTTTCTCTTATGAATACACATTTTTCAAAAGAAGACAAACAAGTGGCCAAAAAACATATGAAGAAATGCTCAACATCACTGATCATCAGAGAAATAAGTATTAAAACCACAATAAGATACCATCTTACACCAGTCAGAATGGCTATTGTTAAGGTCAGAAAACAACAGATGTTGGTATGAATGTGGAGAAAAGGGAATGTTTATACACTATTGATGAGAATGTAAATTAATACAACCACTATGGAAAACAGTATGGAGCTTTCTCAAACAATTAAAAATAGACCTACCATTCAACCTAGCAATTTCAGTACTGGGCATCTACCCAAAGGAAAATAAATCATCATATAATAAGATACCTGCATTCATGTTTTTTGCAGTACTAGTCACGATTTCAAAGTCATGGAATCAACCTATGTCTTCATCAGCAGTTAATTGGATAAAGAAAATGTGGTATATATACACCATGGAATACTATGCAGTCATAAAAAACAATGAGATCGGGCCAGGTGAGGTGGCTCACACCTGTAATCCCAGCACTTTGGGAGGCCAAGGCGGGTGGATCATGAGGTCAAGAGATCAAGACCATCCTGGCCAACATGGTGGAACCCCATCTCTACTAAAAATACAATTAGCTGGGCGTGGTGGTGCACACCTGTAGTCCCAGCTACTTGGGGGGCTGAGGCAGGAGAATTGCTTGAACCCAGGAGGCAGAGGTTGCAGTGAGCCAAGATCAAGCCACTGTACTCTAGCCTGGCAATAGAATGAGACTCCATAGCAAAAAAAAAAAAAAAAAAAAAAAAAGGTCACATTCTTCACAGCAACATGGATGAAGCTGGAGGCGATTATCCTATGTGAAATAACCAAAGAAATGAAATCAAACACCACATGTTCTCACTCATAAGTGAGAGCTAAACAATGGGTAGACATGGACATAAAGATCAAAATAATAGCCACTGGGGACTCCAAAAGAAGGC
The DNA here is from genome assembly GCF_000001405.40 of Homo sapiens. Taxonomy (NCBI): domain Eukaryota; kingdom Metazoa; phylum Chordata; class Mammalia; order Primates; family Hominidae; genus Homo; species Homo sapiens. The sequence continues at coordinate 153,163,923 of NC_000007.14, read as the reverse complement.
AAGTGAGAGGGAGATATGGATTTTAAAATTACCTCTTGGGTACAGTGTTGACTATTTGGGTGATGGGTACACTAGAAGCTCAAATCCCAACATTATACATTATATTCATGTAACAAACCTGCATGTCTACCATAAATCTAAAATTTTAAAAATAAAAATAAATAACAAGTAAATAACCTCTATAGTAAAGGATAAGTTGTTGTACCTTGTATTCCCATGACTAAAAAGACCCACTTCTTAGTGGGCCTCTTCAGCAGCCCTCCAAGTCAACTGACAATAAGTGGAGTACTATTCCCAAGTATAACATATGCTATTTCCAAAATCTAGTTTCAAGTATGTTCCAGAGCAGAAGAGAGTTCTGTAGCAAACTCAATTGCCTCCCCATTGGTCCATATGCACAGCAGATCCAGGACACTGGGGGTATAAAAGTAAATAAGTATCTGAAAAACCCCAATAGGAGAGTCTCAGTATAGACCTCTAATATTTCAGAGTAAGACTATATCTTCTCCTGCATAGAATTTCTAGATTTGAAAATCAATGACAGAATTTTAGCAGAGATAAAACGTTTGACCATTCATGGAGAGCTCTGGAGTGAGAATTGCCCATCCTAAGATCTCACATCAGGCCAAAATATCTGGGTCTTTATAGCCCACCTCACTCGAGATGTGGATTGCCCTAGGGAGGGTGTGACTTTGCTTTAGCCAGCTCTCTAGAGTTAAGGTAGGCCCTGAAGGGGCAGACCTGGCAGTCCATTTACTGACTACACTCCTTACAGCTGGGCAGGAGGTCCTTCTTTGGAGGGAGATATGGGGAAACCTCTCCATATCTAAGATTTTCCTCCTGATGAATTGATACTTGATCATTATGAAATCTTCTTCTTATCTCTGGTTAGATTCCTTGTTCCAAAGTCTAATTTGTCTGATATCAACAGAGCCATTCCAGCCATAGTAGTCTAGTTGGGCTGCCATAACAGAATACCACAGTGTGAGTAGCTTAAACAACAGAAATTAATTTTCTTACAGTTCTGAAGGCTGGAAGTTCAAGACCAGAGTGCAGCATAACTAATTTCTCGCCATGTGTCTCTTCCTGGCTCACAAATGGCCCCCTTTTTGCTGTGTCCTCACATGGCCTTTTCTCTGGGCAGGCAGGCAAAGAGAGAGAGAGAGCATGATGGTTTCTCTTCCTCTTGTTATAAGGACAGCAGTCCTATTAGTTCAGGTCCTGATATAGTTTTAATGCTTGTGACCTACAAATCTAATGTTGAAATGTGATCCCCAGTGTTGGAGGTGGAACCTAGTGGGAGGTGTTTGGGCCACGGGGGCAGATCCTTCATGAATGGCTTCAGGCCCTCCCCAAAGAAACAAATGAGTTCTTGCTCTATTAGGTCATGCAAGAGCTGATTGTTAAAGAGTGTGGGACCTCCCCACCCCACACTCTAGCTCTCTGTCTCATCACATGACTTGCCTACTTCGCCTCTGCCTTCCACCATGAGTAAAATCTTTCTGAGGCCCTCACCAAAAGCTGAGCAGATGCCAGTATCATGCTTCTTGTACAGCCTGCAGAACGATGAGCCAAATAAATCTTTTTTCCTTATAAATTACCCAGCCTAAGGTATTCCTTTATAGGAATGCAAAGCGAACCAATGCAGGACCCCACCCTTATGGCCTCATTTAATCTAATTACCTTCTTAAAGGCCCTATCTCCAAATATAGTCACAGTGTGGAAGTGGAGGTTAGGACTGCAACACATGAATATGGAGGGAATACAATTGTGTCCATAACAGCAGCTTTCTCATGATTAATATGTGCATGATACCTCCTCCTTTGTCTTTTTTATATCTAACCTATTTTTTCTTCATGTTTAATGTGCATCTCATATAAATGGTATATAGCCTTTAAAGTACATCTCATAGAAAATTGTATATAGCCTTACTGTGCTATGGTTTAAATGTGTTTCCCAAATTTAATGTGTTAGAAACTCAATCACCAAATTCATATGCTAATTGTATTTGGAGGTGGGGCCTTTGGAAGGTAAAAAGGATTAGATAAGCTCTTCATGGTGGGGTCCCTATGATGAAATGGATGGCTTTATAAAAATAGGAAAAGACCGGGTGCGGTGGCTCACGCCTATAGTCCCAGCACTTCGAGAGGCCAAGACAGGTGGATTGCTTGAGGCCAGAAGTTCGCGACCAGCCTGGCCAATGTGGTGAAACCCCGTCTGTACTAAAAATACAAAAATGGTGGTGCACGCCTATAATCACAGCTAGTCTGGAGGCTGAGACACAAGAATCACTTGAACTTGGGAGGCAGAGGCTGCAGTGGGCCGAGATCACGCCACTGCACTCCAGCCTGGACAACAGAGTGAGACTCCACCTCAAATTTAAAAAAAAAAGAAAAGAAAAGAAGAGGAAGAGAGACCCAAGCTGGCACAGTCTTGCCCTTTCACCATGTGATGCACTGTGATGCACTCTGCCATGTTATGACACAGCAGGAAGGCCTTCACAGATGCTGGTTCCATGCTCTTGGACTTCTCAGCCTCCAGAACTATAATAAATACATTCCTGTTCATTATAAATTACACAGTCTCAGATATTCTATTATAGAACACAAAATAGATAAAGACATGCTGGTTCTCCTAGCATATAATTTTTGCCTTTAAACTGGAGTATTTAGTACATTTCTATTTAATATAATGCTTGATATGGTTGGGCTAAGTATATCATATTGTTACATGTTTTCTACTGGCCTGTCTGTTGTTTCCTTTTCTCCCATATTCTTTCCTGTTGGATTGGTTGGTTGGTTAGTTTTTTTAATTTTTTAATACTTCTAAATCAGTGTTATCACCCTTACTAGTTTTTTTTAAGTTTACTGGCTTCTTTGGGGATGACAATATGTATCTTTAACTTACCACAGTCTAACGTCCAATTATACCACTTCACATACAATCTAAGAAACTTACAACTAGCATACTTCCACTTAGCCCGCCCTTTGTGCTATTGTTATTATACGTTTTAATCATTTGTATATTATGAGCCCCACAATACATTGTTGTTAATTTTATTTTAAACAATAAGTTATCTTTTAAATAAATAATGAAACAAGAAAAAGTATTCTATGTTTACCCACATATTTGCCATTCCTGGTGCTATACATTATCTTACAGAGCCAAATTTCCTTCTGGTATCATTTTCCTTCAGGATGAATAACTTTCTAAAATATTTCTTATAGAATGGGCTTGTTATAGACAACTTTTGTCACCTTTTATTTATCTAAAAGTTTTTTATTAAAACTTCATTTGTGAAGGATATTTTTCCTGGATATACAATTCTACATTGACAGATTTTTTTTCCTTTAAGTATTTTAAAGACAATTCCATTTTCTTCTGTCTTGTATTGTTTAATTTAAGAAGTCAGTAAAATTACTGTCACAGTTGTCCTTTGTATAATGTGCCCTTTTTCTTTGGATGCTTCTAAATTTTTAGTTTCATCATTTGCTTTTAGAATTTGATTATGATATGCTTTTATGTGGTTTCATTTATTCTGCTTTAATTTTTTTGAGTTTCTGGGACCTATGAATTTCTATTTCTCATCAGATATTGAAAATTCCCAGCTATTGTTACTTCAAATATTCTTTGGGCCCTCAAAATCTTTTTTCTTCTTTTGCAACTCAAATGACACATTATTCTACTTGATATTGTCTCACAGGACACTGAGGCTCTGTTCAATTCTTTTCCAGTAAGTTTCCTCTCAGTGTTTTATTTTGAATAGCTTTTATTATCCAGTTTTCTACTTTACTGACCATTTACCTGTAGCGCCTAATCTGTTGTTAAGAGCACCCAGCTAATTTTTTATTTTATATATTATGTCTTTCAGTGTATCATCACCATTTGGTTCATTTTTATAGCTTTTATTTCTCTGTTAAGATCTTTCCTCATTATACCTCTGGTTTCCTTTAAATCTTTGAGCATATTTATGACTGCTGTTTTGAAGTATGTTTCCTCTAATTACATCAGATCTGTCATTTCTGTTTCTGTTCTACTGACTAATTTTTCTCTTGATTCTTGGTTACAGGTTCCTGCTGCTTTTTCACACATCTAATGACTTTTTTCTTGTGTTGCACATTGAATTCCCCTGAAATATGACTCTGAGATGGAGATTATAATGTAGCACACTTATTAGGGAGAACTTTACAACCAACACCTGCAGAAAGGAGGGAAAGAAAGTAAGAATGGATAGGAGAAATTAAGCTGCCGTATAGTCCCAAAGAAAGCACCAGTTGACCCCACCATAAGCTCTGGAGTCGGTGTGGCTTTGCAGAGATTTCCCAGCTTGAAGCAAGGAAATCAGGCCTTTATACCCCTCTGTCAATCAGTCACTGGGTGAGGTGTAGGCTACTCCAGTAAGGAGATGTGGCCTGAGACAAGGCAACTCTTTTTACTGAGACAAACCCTTAAGGAGCCTAACAACTGAAGGCTGCCTGCCAAAAGCAATCACAGCAACTAGGGACGTAAGCTCTTTATCAAGCAATCTGTATCACACACACACTATTCACTGTGGTTTGCATGCTGAACATTATGAATTCAGCCTTGTTTGCAGTATGGATTTTGTTATCTTTCTTTCAAGAACATCAAGGTTTGCTTTGCCACAGTTAATTTACTTGCAAATCATCCTTGTCTTTTTGAAATTTATTATGAGTTTTGTTATGAAGAATCTAGAGTAGTGGTTCTAACTGGGGGTCAATTTTTTTTTTTTTTAATTTTCACAACTGGAACCTGCTAGTGGCATATAGTGGGTAGAGGCCAGGGATGCTGGTAAATATTCCATATTGCATGGTACAGACCCCTCTCCAACAAAGGATTGTCAGGCCCAGAACATTAATAATGCAAGGTTGAGAAACGTGTTTTGTAGTAGCCATTACTGTAGGGCTAATTAAGGCCTACTCCCAAATCATGGCATTCTAGAGGTGACCGTGGAGGGCCCAGAGAGCTCAACATGGTATCTCTGCCTCGGATGGTCAAACTTCAACACCTTCTCAGCCTGTGAAAGAGCCAGGAGCTCTGTGGAGCCCACAGCTCCCTAGGGGTGGTTCATTTCTTGATCACATTGAATCTCACCTAGTGAAAATACTGCTTAGTATTCAGACAACAGAATCGCTTTGCAGATTCATGGAGCTCTTTTTCTACATAGATCCCTCCTCTCCAGCACTCTACCCTGCAAAATCCATCAACCCTCACCAGCCCCCAACCCCCATCTCTGTCCCTAGTTCAGCAAGACAGGTGTGCTCAGTTTCCCTCCTTCTCCCTACATCATGGCTCAGAAATGGAGGAAACCAAAATAGTTCTCCCCAAAGTATTGAGAATTGCTAAGTTAAAGACACTGAAAACATAGGGAGCTCTCCACCTCTGCCCCTGTTTGCCATACACCAGGACATCCATCCTTCCTTCCTGGGGATGGCACCTGCTCATCAGCCCAGAGAGGGCCCCAGCCAGCACCAGGGGAATCTGGGCGCAGATCTCACTGACTTCCCACAGGTTCCCTCCTTTTAAAAGACCGGAGCTGCCCTCTCCTTTGTCTTGTCACTGTGTAGGATTTATGACTGTTTGTTAAAATACTCCGTAAGCAAAGCCCATAAGCCTTAAGAGAGAAATACTTGTGAACTGAGGCCTCTCCCATGTGCTGGGTACAAACTTGTGCTTGTCTTTATTGTGTTAATCTGACTTTTGTTTTCAGGAAAGTGTCTCAACTAAGAACCTAAAAAAGGAAAGAAAAGACATTGTTTTCTCTCCCCTGCAGAAACGGCTTCCAGTCAGAGAGCAAGGTGAATGCACGGTTCGCCTTGGTTCTTCCTTCTTTCTTAGATTGCAGGCCAGTGCTGCTAACATTTGAAAACAGTTGTTTTATAGATTGTGTCCAGTCTTAGAACAAATGGGGAGGCTAGTCTAATGCCTGATGCTTCATGATGAGCACAAGCAAAACTCTCTTACAATCCGGTCTTTGTGACTTTCCTTCTTTATTTCCTTTCCTTCTCCCACCCTCGCTTCCCCTTCATTCTTCTATATATTTGTCTATGTGCATACATGTGTTTGACACAGACAAATCACAGATAAATTGAACATTGACAAATCTCCCATGAACATTAAAATCTTATTCATATCATTAAATACAATTCACCTGTCCCCAAATCCATAAATAGCACTCTGACAAAACAGACCTACAAAACCAGTCAGAAATGTTTTAATCTTTCCGCTTAACATTTTGGACTTCATTTAAAAAGTAGCTCCCCAGTCGTGGAGCCTGCCTCGTCGCTCAAAGCTGGAAGGGCATTTGGCCTTGGCTGCCTTTAAGCCTCGTTGGTGGAGGCTTTTCTTTGAATACTGTGCAAGCGATGCAGAACGGGCAAGCCTCAAAACTGAGGTATAGCAGGGAGGATTCTTGGCTTCATCCAGGAAAGAATTCAAGGGCAAGCTGGTGGTGTTAGGCAGCAACTTTTATTGAAGCAGCAGTGTACGGCAGCAGAGGTACTGCTCCTTGCAGAGTAGGGCTGCCCCATAGGCAGGGAGCCCAGAGTAGCAGCTCAGAGGTAATTCTGCACTCATATTTATACCCACTTTTAATTACATGCAAATTAAGGGGCGGTTTATGCAGAAATTTCTACAATGAGGGTGGTGATATGGTTTGGCTCTGTGTCCTCACCCAAATCTCATCTTGAATTTTAGTCCTATAATTCCCACGTGTTGTGGGAGGGATCTGATGGGAGATAATTTGAATCATGGGGGCCGTTTCCCCCATACAGTTCTCGTGGTAGTGAATAAGTCTCACGAGATCTGATGGTTTTATCAGGAGTTTCTGCTTTTGCATCTTCCTCATTTTCTCTTGCCGCTGCCAGGTAAGAAGTGCCTTTCACCTCCTGCCATGGTCCTGAGGCCTCCCCAGCCATGCGGAACTATAAGTCCAATTAAACCTCTTTTTCTTCGCAGTCTTGGGTATGTCTTTATCAGCAGCGTGAAAATGGACTAATACAGGTGGTAACTTGCAGGCTGTCAGGTAGTTGCCACGGAAAGGAATGGTAACTTCTGGGTGTTGCCATGGCAATGGTAGACTGACATAACACACTGGTGGGCATGTCTTATGGGGAGGAGCTTCTGCCCTGGACCTGTTTTAGCTAGTCCTCAATGTGGTCCTTTGTGCAATCCCCACCTCTGGAGTTGAGTTCTGCCTCCTACCTCACAAGGTTTGGTATATCCTGAAAGCACATCCTCCCAGGCTCCTCCAGCAGCCCTTCTGCTCTGGAGGAAATACGTCTCTATGGATGGGAACAGCCTCTCCTCCTACTTGCCTATGATAGGTGATGGGTTGAACAGTAATATCAATGACTTCTTCGACTGTAGGGTCAGAGGATTGTTTGCACAAACTCCTGGGGTTCTAACAAGTCATTCATATTTCATGTGAGAGGAACTTGCTTTTGTGTACATCTCTAAACTGCCAGCTAACCACCTTTTTCAGCTCTCATCAAAATTTATTTTCACTTGAACAATTTTTGCACAGCTTAGAATTCTCACAGCAATTCCTCAAATGGCTTGTTCTTGTTTACATACAAGAACAAAATGTATGGCAGCCTCAGTCACTTCACAATTTAAAGTCATTACTGAATTTGGCATTCTGCACTTTTGAAGTGAGTTAAATCTTCTAAGAACCATTGGCTTTTTTAACGGTTTCATTTTTATCAGCTGCACTCACTGTTGATGCCCTTGGCTGGGAGGGGCACATTTTCTACAGAAATGGAATTGATCACTAAGTCAGTGAGTGAGCACCTGAAAGTAGAAAACAACGAACTGTGTGGCCATGGGAATGTCCAGACACAGTGGCCGCTGGCTTCCCCTTTGCCTAAGTGACCACCCTTCTCTGTGGAATAGACTCAGAGGCTGCGGATTCAGGTATCTCCCTCAGTAACATTACAACATGGCTGGACCCTCGGCGTTACTCATGAAGAGCTGAAACCATGAATTCTAGAATACCCCATGTACAACTGGAAGGGGACTAGAGAACCCAAACCCCTACTGAACAAAGAGAAGTCCTTTTGCCTAAGATTGCATCAATCTGAAATTTACTGAAATTCCACAAAAGTACTTTCTGCTTATCCCTGAATGGTTTATTGTGAGCATTTCCCAAAGTCATTACAGTCAGTAAGTACTTGTTTGAAAACTTAGTTAATGGTTTTAAAATATTCCATTATATAGATGTACCATGTGTCAACCATTCCCCTATGCTTGGGACATTTCTGTTGCTTAATTCTTTCTAATTTGGTACCCTTGAGAGACAGGACTAGCTGGATTTCCTAGGCCAACTAAGAATTCCTAAGCCTAGCTGGGGAAGGTGACCACACCTACCTTTAAACACGGGGCTTGTAACTTGGCTCACACCCAACCAGTCAGGTACTACAGAGGGCTCACTAAAATACAAATTAGGCTAAAGCAGGAGGTAACGAAATAGTCAAATCATATATCGCCTGAGAGCAGAGGGGAAGGGACAATGATCAGGATATAAACCCAGGCATTCAAGCATTCAACAGGGAGTGGCAACCCCCTTTGGGTCCCCTCCCATTGTATGGGAGCTCTGTTTTCACTCTATTAAATCTTGCAACTGCACACTTTTCTGGTCCGTGTTTATTACGGCTCGAGCTGAGCTTTCGCTTGCCATCCACCACTGCTGTTTGCTGCGGTCGCAGACCCACCACTGACTTCCACCCCTCTGGATTTGGCAGGGTGTCCGCTGTGCTCCCCATCCAGTGAGGTGCCCATTGCTGCTCCCAATTGGGCTAAAGGCTCGCCATTGTTCCTGCACGGCTAAGTGCCCAGGTTTGTCCTAACTGAGCTAAACACTAGTCGCTGGGTTCCATGGTTCTCTTCCGTGACCCACGGCTTCTAATATAGCTATAACACTCACCCTATGGCCCAAGGTTTCATTCCTTGGAATCCGTGAGGCCAGGAACCCCAGGTCAGAGAACACGAGGCTTGCCACCATCTTGGGAGCAGCCTGCCCCATCTTGGGAGCTCTAAGAAGGAATGTTCTACCTCTGCCACCTCAGAGATGAGGTGGAGACAATCCAAGGTAGAAAGGCTTTAAAGAAACACCAGTATTACAGAGAGATAGTTTTCAGGCTTCTAGAACATGTTAGAACTCACCATATAGTGTATTGTGCTATCTGCAAACTAAATAAACAGGTACACACACTTGAATAAGTTATGAATTGGGGTCCTTAATAGATGAACCCATTGAGGAAAAATGAAAAAGGTTGTGGGTAAGAAATCAAGAATGGGGAAATGGAAGAGGTGAGACAAGATCAGAGGAACACAGGGAGGCATTTGCCCTTGACCTCAGGAAGGGTACAGCTGCAACAGGCATCTCTCACCAGGCCCCATACAAAGTGACCTTGGGTGACCATATGCAGCTTAGCAGGATCAGTGTGAAATCACCTTTGCAAAAATTATAACAGTGAGAAAATGATGATAGTTAAAACGATCTGATCTGACCAGTCCCCATCTTGTCTTTAACCTCCAAACTGCCCTTAATCCTTCCTGGCCTTGAGCCAAGCTAACTTCAGGAGACATTTAGTCTATAGTTTAAATGATAATAGCCCTTCCTCCAAACTAAACCATGTTTGTAAAACTGAGGACAGAGCACCAGGTTTGGAGGATAAGGAGCCTGAATTCTGGTAAGGTGTAGACATAAATGATATCCAGCCATTATTCTAGAGGTCACAGGATTTGCAAGTTCCCCAATTACTCCTGCAAATAACATCACACTTGTAGAAGCTAAGATTGGCCTTGTGAGGTGTCTTTTCAGATTTTTGCATTTCTGATGACAGATGGTTCCACCCAGAAGAAGACTGAGCCCACAAGAGGACCATTTTCCACACTCCTATGATTGCACCCCAACAAATCAGCAACATCCATTCCCTAGCCTGCCAAACTACCCCTTGAAAACCCTAGCTTCCAAATTTTCATGGAGACTGATTTGAGTAATAAAACTCCAGCCTCCAATTCAGCCGGCTCTGTGTGAATTAAATTCTTCCTCTGTTGCAATCCTCTGTCTTGATAAGTTGGCTCTATCTGGGCAGTGGGCCAAATGAATTCATTGGGTGGTTACAGGTAATGGGATATTGGGAAGCCCGGGTGTAGTATGAGCTCTGCCCAGATTGATGCAACCATACATAAAAGGCCTTCTCTTTGTTCAGTAGAGGTTTGGGTTCTCAAGTCCCCTTCCAGCTGTATATCCCCTATAGGGGATTGGCCCTGTTATTACATATCTCTACCAGCAATTACATACATCCCCTGTATTAGCAGACAACTTGAAGAATAAGTAAAAGCAGTTTGATTAGTTAAATTTAAATATAGAAACTAAAGGTTCAAAGCCATGTGTGTGTTCTTGAAAAAAACGTGAATAATTTTCAGTTCTGGATGAATCTATGTCACAGGAAAATAGAAGAACAAAATAATTTATTTACCAAAAAGTTCTTTATTCAAGTCAGAGTTTACATTTACAGTTCTCACTTATTTGAATTCTACTGTCCAAAGTTGCAAGGGAGAAATGAAATCCTAGTTCTTAATAGGCAAGTACAGCATTCACACGGCATCAAAGGAACAGCAGGTATCTGTTGTGTTTTAATAGTCACTCTCCTTATATGCCACGTCCCCACCCGTGATTGCATCAGAAGGCAAGGGGACCGGCAGGTCATTCATCTGACAGGTTGTTCAGCCCAAACTCCTGCATATTTGTTTCTCTAAACTCATTTATTCTACAGGCCCATATAATATTGAATTACACATCTCACAATATTCGAAATAGCTCATTTGTTCTGGGAATTACATGCCTCTAATTGTATCATGGAAATGCTGACAGCCAGCAGAATGGTAATGAAACACAGCCTACCAGCAGCAGTGGTTGCAAGAACGTGAAGCAATCAGGCATGGTTAAACATTGCTACAGTGCCATTCACGTGCGAAATGTATGGAAGCAAATGCTATTAGGTCTATTAGGTCCAATAATGATTTGTATTTATGCCATTCACCCCTCCAGAGAGTTGTACTGTAAACCTTACAGCCTATGAGTTTGCTTCCTATCTTAGAGCTTAAAAGACTAGTCAGTTATTCTTTCAACAGTACCTAACCACTTCCAAGTGACCATTTTGCCACTAACAACAGATTGCACAGGAAACAGCAATGACCTCCCAAAATGAAGGTCATGATGTGCCATCCAGATTCTCCCCAGGGCTGAAGGATTTTTCCTCAGCTCCTGAGACTGGTCTGGCCAACATGCCTAAGATGTTGCCTTCTGCAAATCCCCCCATGAAGATAACCTGTCACTCCAAGGGCCAAGGGAAGCCAACACCTAAGATTGTCCAATATGGGATAAAAAGGCCAGGTCCCATCAGCCAAGAGATGACCCTAAAAGCCCACCCAGCTTCAGGGCTCCCAGTGGAGCTGGCTGAGGCCTTTTTGAGACTGAATCAATGCCATGTTTACCTCTGCTCAATCCTGCTTTCCACAGGTGCCAGTCTGGAAAACGCTTCCTGCTAAAATTCCTGCACTTCAGTCTCCATCTCGGAGTGTGCCTGACTCCATTATCCCTTTCCCTTCCAATTTAAACTGGCTTTTTTTTTTTTTTTTTTTTTCTCAGAGACAGAGTCTTGCTCTCTCGCCCAGGCTGGAGTGCAGTGGCACGATCTCAGCTCACTGCAACCTCCGCCCTTCAGGTTCAAACAATTCTCGTGCCTCAGACTCTCAAGTAGCTGGGATTCCAGGCATGTACCACCAAATCCAGCTAATTTTTAATAGAGACGGGGTTTCACCATGTTGGCCAGGCTGGTTTCGAACTCCTACGTGAAGTGATCTGCCCACCTTGGCCTCCCAAAGTGCATGGATTACAGCGTGAGTCACTGCACCTGGCCTTAAGTGGATTACAGCGTGAGTCACCGCACCTGGCCTTAAACTGGCTTTCAAGGCCCCTAGAATTTAGTCCTACCTCCTTCGATAAGGCCAGACTTCTCACTCTCTCCCATTCATGCTGTGAAAGGAAAATAAATCTCTGGGACCCAAGATCACTAAACTAAAGGGAAAAGTCAAGCTGGGAACTGCTTAGGGCAAACCTGCCTCCCACTCTATTCAAAGTCATCCCTCTGCTCACTGAGATAAATGCATATATGATTGCCTTTTTTGGAAAGGTGAATCACAAATTCAAAAAGAATGCAACCCTTTGTCTCTCACCTACCTATAACCTGGAAGCCCCCTCCCTGCTTAGAGTTGTCCTGCCTTTCCAGACCAAACCAATGTTCATCTTAGATACGTTGATTGATGTCTCATGTCTCCCTAAAATGTGTAAAACTAAACTGTGCTCTGACCACCTTGGGCTCATGTCTTCAGAACCTCCTGAGGCTGTGTCATGGGCACAGGTCCTAAACCTTGGCAAAATAAACTTTCTACATTAACTGAGACCTGTCTCAGATTTTGGGGGTTCACAATGCCATATTCATTTCCGCAACTGTGTCTTTTCATTCTCTTCCAACTTGGGGGATTTTTTTACCCTAAATATTAATTGCTAAGCAGGAGAACTATATTCTTAATAAAAAATGACAGTTCAAAGGTTTCTCAGAGATTGGCATAGATGAGAACAAAACCAGCATATAAATGTGGCAGCCAATTTTGACAGAAGAAAACAGCTATCACTATGTCCACTTCAAGGGTGATCCAGGTGCCATGGGAATCTCACAATGCCTAGCCCTGAGCTGCACAACAGGACTAGGGGAAAAGACAAGGAGAAAGGAAAAAGATGTTGAGACACTAGAAAAGAGGAGAATGCAAGTCTTGACACAGGCAACACTGCCTACTCCAAATTTACCAATCTGGTGTTGTAGCCCATCAAGGGCCAGCTCTAGAGAAAAACTGGGTGTCTACATTCCTGAGAAGTGTTCCACTTCTGATGTCTAATAATGGATTCACTTTTTTGTTAGGATGGGGCAGGGGGGAACATTGAGAAGAGATATTGTAAAACTCCTTAGTTCTGACTCTACGTTGAGCTCAGACAGGCCAGATGCCTTGGCCAAGATCACAAAGTTAATAAAAGCAAATCTTACCGTTTCAACTGTGGTAGCCTTTTCACTACCTTGAAATACCTCTAAAGTATAATGGACCAATGACACCAAATAACATTTTTGCTGTGACAGACATACCACAGGCCACTTATTAAAGAATTAAATCTATAATGGTAACATTTCAGGCAACTTGCAGAATTTTAGTTCATATTAAACAAATGCAAATCCTTCATAATCCTTTTTCAAAAATACTTAAAACTGATTTTACTCTAACAAAAGCCAAGTTTCCAAAATCGATGAATATAATCCAAAACTCTCAATTACACTTTCTTGAGTAGGTTCATTCTTTGAGATCGTTTTTCCTAGGGCCCAAAAATCTTTTTAGCACAGGGTTGAACCAGCACATGAGGGGCACTCTCAGCTGCATTGATCCAACCAGAATCCTACCAGTAATAGTTATTGAACCATGTTATAGCATATCTAAGTTTCAGTCAACAAAATCTGTTAACATTTATTAAAGTATTTAGTCTATTGTGGAATTTATAAATTGCGTTGTGAAGCAGAATTATTAATTTCTACTTTAAACTCTAATAAGTTACACCAAGCTTTACTGTCCTTTGCAATTTACAATGAAAGAAAACAATCCAGTATAAAAAAAAATCGGTAGACTCATCAATTTTCATAATAAAAGTGTTCAGTGGCTCTTTGAAAATTACTGTAACAGGGCCGGGCGCGGTGGCTCACGCTTGTAATCCCAGCACTTTGGAAGGCGGAGGCGGGTGGATCACGAGGTCAGGAGATCGAGACCACGGTGAAACCCCGTCTCTACTAAAAATATAAAAAATTTGCCGGGTGTGGTGGCGGGCGCCTGTAGTCCCAGCTACTTGGAGAGGCTGAGGCAGGAGAATGGCTGAACCCAGGAGGCAGAGCTTGCAGTGGGCTGAGATCGTGCCACTGCACTCCAGCCTGGGTGACAGAGCGAGACTCTGTCTCAAAAAAAAAAAAAAAAAAAAAAAAAAGAAAAGAAAATTACTGTAACAGAATACATGTTGTTGATATGGTTTGGATGTTTGGTCCCCTCCAAATCTCATGTTGAAATGTGATCCCCAATGTTGGCCGTAGGGCCTAGTAGCAGGTGTTGGGTCATGGGGGTGGATCTTTTATGAATGGCTTGGCGTCATCCTCATGGTAATGAGTGAGTTCTCACTCTGTGAGTTCATGTGAGATCTGGTTGTTGAAAAGAGCCTGGTGTCTCTCTTGCTCCCTCTCTTCCCATGTGATGTCCTGGTTCCCCTTCCCCTTCTGCCACGATTGCAAGTTTCCTGAGGCCATCACCAGAAGCAGATGTAGGCACTAGGCTTTGTGTACAGCCTGAAGAACCATGAGCCACATAAACCTCTTTTCTTTATAAATTACCCAGCCTCAGGTATTCCTTTATAGAAATGCAAATGGAATAACACAGTGGTTTACTTGCAAATATGGTATGTATATCAGGGTTTTCTGAGGCGCTTATAAAAAATGCCTGAGCCCACCACAGGCATATATAACAGACTCCCCAGGGTTAGGTGCAGGCATCTGCTTTTTAACAAGTTCTCTAGATAAGTCTGCTAAAGAGTCGAGCTTGAGATATATCATAACCCCATTATAATAGACAAATATAGTCCTAAACCTGGAAGATATTCCTTTTCCTGGCTTGTTTTTTTCTGTCCTAAAAGCTCTGGAAAGTCTACTTTTTCCATGAAGATCTCTTGTATCAGTGGGGGGCAGTGGGGACAATGGCAATTTCTAAAACCACATGCCAATCATGGCAACTATCAAAAACCTAAGAAATATCCTAACACACACACACATTCAGAAAATACTCTACACGTGAAAGCACTTAGGACAGTTTTGCCAATGAGAAAGTCTCAACTTTAATGTTATACTACATGCACTAGGTATATCATGAGGTTGGGTGAACTTAAATCATAGTTCAATGCATTGTTGGCACTCACAGCAATATCAACCTCTTTTCTCTTTTGTATAAATTAAAAATCACTCAAAAATGAAGTCATTGCTTTGTAAATAAAATTTACAATACAAATATTTTAGAGTCATTGTTAACTATTTTAATTATTGTAATAAATAGGAAGGCTCATAACATAGGGAGAAAGTGAAGAAATGATTCTCCAGGTTTTTTATGATAATTTGATCATTAGTGGCTAAGTGCCTGCTGCTCTTGTTGAATGCAAACATATAACTTTGTAATACCTAGCCATTAATAAATTATTTTTTAACATTCTAATTAGAAAGAAGATCTTTCTATGACATTAATTTCAATTTACATACATAGTATGCTCTCTCCAACAAAATAGAAGCCAAGCAAACATCTTCAAACTCCTTCAAAAGTTATAGAATTAAGAGACCAAATAAATCCTACTAAATATTACAAGGTTACAAAATTAATTGGCTCTCTCAAAATGTTGCAGCTAATCATATGTAAATTTTCCACCAAAACTCAAACAAAATCAATGGTAGTGTGTTCTCTTTCTCTTTCTCTTTCTCTTTCTCTCTCTCTCTCTCTCTCTCTCTCTCAGTCTTTTCTGGCATCAAGACACAGGTGGGAAGGAGAAAATCTTGGACCTGAAACACACTGACACTCTCTGGCCATGGGTTCCCAAGGGAACGCTAAGCCAACTAGGAGGCACTGCCCATGTGTGTGCTGAGGACAGGGGCACTATTTGTATGGTCATTCCCAACACCATGTTTATCCCTCAACTCCTCTACCCCAGGCTTTGCCTCTGACTCTAGAAAGAGCACAAGTTCTCTTCTTGTCTTTTTCCTTTCTCCTTAAGTTAAAAGGCAGGCTCCCATTCCAAGATTCCAAGTTTCCATCAAAGATCCTAGTTTGCCATGTGCCTTTCTGGTTCCACAGTAGTTTTCTCCAATTCTAATTTCACCTCGAATTTGAATGGTTTAGACCTACCTTGCGGGGAAGTCTGACTATGATTTAGATCACTGTGCCTCCTCATTCAGGTTCCAGCAGGATACTTAAGTTGATGTCATGCCCCGTTTTGTGCTTCTACAGCAGAATACCTGAGACGGGTAATTGATAAAGAACAGAACTATATTTTCTTACAGTTCTGGAGGCTGGGAAGTCCAAAATCCAGGCACTGGCATTTGGTGAGGGCTTTCTTGCTGCATTGTCCCGTGGCAGAAGGCAGAAGAGCAAAGAGACAACAGGGGATCTAATTCACCCTCATAATGGGATTCATCCCATGAGACAGGAGTCCTCATGGCCTGGTCACCTCTTTAAGGTCTCCCTCTTAATACTGTTAGAATGGCAATTAAATTTCAACATGATTTTGGAGGGCACAAACATTCAAACCTTAGTAGTTCGCATACTTTTAATCTAAAATTTGAACTCCATGTCCTCTGTTTTGATGAGTGATCATCTGTACCTGGCTTCATTCTTTCCAGTGTCCCAAGGCTGGGTTCCCCTGTCCCTATCTTGGCCAAGATCACTGACATTAAGCACCCACCTAAGTTACGGTTTTTTACGACTATTCAATTCATTGTCTTTTCTCTTGCAGGAATATCTATAACTGAAACCTTAACTTAAAAAGCCTATTACTGGTTTTTAGTCTTACCTCTTAACTAATATGGGAGGAGCTAGTCTCATTATCTCACAAATATACAGGATATGGAAGTGGTAGACATTAAATCTGCTTTACCTAGAAGTACAGTAGACATCAAGCTTCATTCTAGGAGTTTATAATCACAAGGATGGCCCTTGAATCCCCAAATAGTCTATCTTCTCCCTGACTTTTTAAAACCCAATAATAAAGGACAGAGCCTTTTCTTAAAACTAAGATATTCAGGATGTCAGCTTGCGCATACAGCACCTTCACAAGAATGAGTCAAAGGCACTCCATGAGGCACAGAAGTTATAAATGGCACCCCTATTTCCTTAAAACATCCACAGAGATTCAGGACTTGGCAAGTGGAGAGTGGCCTGGATTCAGCCCAGCCAGTTGCCCCCTTGGCCAGGTGCTCTTGCATAGGGCACTGCCGGTACAACCATAATTCCTGGCCCCACAGATTCCTTCAGAAGACAGGCATCAACTTAGATTCATGTAGTGAGCATGCCTTTCTAAATCAGTGTTTGAAAGCATGAAAAGAAGAGCAAGAAAAGAGGGCAGATCATACTTGATAAGAGAAAGAGGTAACCCAGTAGAAAGGAAAGAGAAAATCAGAAACACAACAACAAACTTTCATTTACTTAATAATTTAACGCATGCAACTTAGCCTGCCTGAGACAATGATCCCTGCAGGCAAAGCTCAGTTTAATCTTTCTGTGTATCCCTACGATCCCACTTGGAGTATAACCCACAGTAAGTCTTCAATAAGCTTGTTGGTTTATGGAGGAAAGGGAAGGAGTAATTAGCTGGCTTCTTATGAGCCTAAATGATTAAACTAAAACCTGCTTAAAAGCTACGGCCCACATGAATGTGTTTTCAGCAGACCACTTACTTAGTAAGTGTAGTTTAAATGGATTATCCATAAGTTTCAATGATTCAGAGATTATATGGGAAATACACACATCCAGTGTGTATGTTAGATATATGAAAGATACTAACAATTTTTATAAGTAATCTTTAAAGGGCCAAGGGAAAAATGTATCCCTGCCCCACTCAATTTCAGCAAAGATCAAAGAATATAGCACAGCATAAAGGTAACTTGGCTCTTAGCCTTGATTTCTTTCAGTTATTGGTTTACCATTAACAGCGGGGATAAAAAAGATTAGATAAATTATCCAGCAAACATAAAAATCTTAAAGTATTTGAATAGAATACACACATGATTAAGTATTTAAGGAGCTACACAGCTTTGGTGTCTTGTCATAAAACCCCCGATATACTCTAGCTAGACTAAATTTCCCTTTAGGGAACAAATACAAAATGACAAATTTGTCGCTAAGACTAAATTGAGGGTTTAAGTTTATTACAGGACTATTGGTCCAAAGGCATTTTGTTAATAAAAACTCACAAATCGTTGAGCTAAATATTCATGGAACAAGAACTGCAGCCATATAACTTACTTTCTTCTCTGAATCAAGACGTTATAACAAAAATGTAGAATTCCAAATATTTAATAACATCGAGGGACTCAGTATCATTTGTCACAAATAAAGATACTTGAGCTAGAACTTTACATTGAATAAAAATTGTAATTTTTAGCTCACAAGGGCAGGCAATTGAAAAAAAATGCTTTATTCTAAATAGTTCAGTGTTGTCTTTAGAGGTGTAATTCTAGAATGGCAGCAGAAAGAGCATAGTAACTCTCTCCCCAGAAAAAAAATAAACCACTTAACTAGTGAAAAATCATTTTTTAAACAATTACCTAAAATGTCTACAAATTGTTCTAAGGGCATTTAGCAAATGGAGAAATATTCATTTAAGAAAACTAGGAAATCTCAGTAAGAACAGCCTGAGTCTGAAGCATTTAAGCTGCTCGCCCACCCCAGTTCTGTGTAACTTGACTACGTGTGTTCTGCCCTGGGCAGGTGCAGACAAGACAGGTGCTCTCTCTCTACCTGGCTTTCCATTTAGGGTTACAGTTTCATTTTGAGAGGGGTAGGCAACCGGCATTTCCCATGCTCCCTGGAATTTCAGGCAGGCGTGGCTCAAAGGATGAAGTTCCATTCCCCCAATTGCTCTTCCATGTAGGGCAGAATGTCTAAATGTCTACCCCAGGCACAGCAGGCTGACAATACTGAGGCTCTGATTGATTCCATCAAAACTTGCTGATAGGGCAGAGATTCCACACCAGGAGGGACAAGCCCAGAAGACCAAATGCTACTCTTGTAGGGCAGGCATGTCACTCCAAGAGAAGCAGAGTAGAATATGAATGGATTAAATAAGCCAATCAAAACAGAGATTATCAGACTGAATTTTAAAAGAAGAACAAAGGATATGCTATCTACAAGAGAAACATTTTAGATTCAGTGATACACAAGGGTTAAAATGAAAGGATGGAAAAATAGTGTGCTAACAGCATTCATGAGAGAGGTGGAGTGCTTATATTAGGATCAGACTAAATAGACATTAAAACAGAAAAGGCTGTTAGAAATGAAGGACATTTTATGATAATAAAAGGGTCAGTCTACCAGTAAATAATAACCATTATAAACACATATGGCTGCCACTGCTATGCTCGCTCAGTGTGGACCTGGTACCTCTTTTAAGCTGAGGAGACTCTGGTGCTCGTCATGGCCAACAAAAATTCCAACGAAGGAGTTAAGACTGAAAACAACGATCATATTAATTTGAAGGTGGTGGGACAGGATGATTCTGTGGTGCAGTTTAAGATTAAGAGGCATACGCCACTTAGTAAATTAATGAACGCCTACTGTGAATGACAGGGATTGTCAACGAGGCGGATCAGATTCCAATTTGACTGGTAACCAATCAATGAAACACATGTAACTGCGCAGTTGGAAATGGAGGATGAAGGTACAATTGATGTGTTCCAACAGCAGACGGGAGTGTCTACTGAGAAGGCAGCCTACTTCTTTCCTCCAGAACTCTGTTCTTTACAGACCAAGATGACATTCTCAGTTAGAAAACTGCAGTTTGGTTCCACCACATCCTGACTGCTACAGTATAGTTTTCTCTATTCTTTCATTTCCCCCTTCTCCATTCCTTTATTATACATAAAGTAGCTGGTATATGTGCACAAGCATATTGCATTTTTTTTAATTAAACAGCGAATGGTATATTTTGGTTGACATCAAGTGGAGACAGGATGGGGAAAAATACTGATTCTGTGAAAATACCCCCTTTCTCCATTAGCGGCATGCTCATTCAGCTCTTATCTTTATATTCCAGTAAGTTATTTTGCTCTCACCGTTTTAACAACAAAAAAAGCATACAAATTCCTGCATACTTTGTTCAGTTGGAGAATTTTAATGTTTTTCATATATCGTTGTAAAACCAAAGACAATTTTATAACTTTTTGCATGTAGCTGTTACATGTAGGTCAATCTGTCTTTAGGCAGGGATAAATTACTCTTAAAAAAAAATCCTAATTAGTTTTCCCTTCAAGTCAAGCATCTTGTTCTTTAAATAAGCTTCTTATTTAAAATGAAAATATATATACATATATTTCCATCTAACAACAAAGCTGCAAAATATGTGAAACTGACAGAATTGAAAGAAGAAATAAACAATGCAATAAAGGACTTGAACAACACTATAAAACAAACAGACCTAATAGACCTCTATAGGACACTCTAGCCAAACATAGCAGAATACATATTCTTTTTAAGTC
Source organism: Homo sapiens (assembly GCF_000001405.40). Taxonomy (NCBI): domain Eukaryota; kingdom Metazoa; phylum Chordata; class Mammalia; order Primates; family Hominidae; genus Homo; species Homo sapiens. The sequence goes on along the minus strand of NC_000007.14, from coordinate 153,143,527 downwards.
CACATAGGACATTCTCCAGCACAGACTATATTTTATGTCATAACAAGTTTTAAGAAAGTTAAGGCCAGGTGCAGTGGCTCATGCCTATAATTCCAGCACTTTGGGAGGCTGAGGTGGGTGGATCACCTGAGGTCAAGAGTTTGAGACCAGCCTGACCAACATGGCCAGTAGGGTGTACTGTCTCTACTAAAAATACAAAAATTAGCTGGGCATGGTGGTGCATACCTGTAGTACCAGCTACTCGGGAGGCTGAGGCAGGAGAATAGCTTGAACCCAGGAAGTGGAGGTTGCAGTGAGCCGAGATCCTGCACTCCAGCCTGGGCAACAGAGTGCGACTCCATCTCAGAAAAAAAAAAAAAAAAAAGAAAGTTAAAAGTATTAAAGTCATATGTCATACAAAGTATGTTCTCTGACCACAAATGAATGAGGAAATATCTTGACATAAGTAAAAACAAAAATATATCATACCAAAATATAGGGGATGCAGCTAAAGCCATGCTCAGAGGCAAACTTATAGCTGTAAACACCTATATTAAGAATGAAGAAAGATTTCAAATGAAAACCTAACCACCTCCTACCTTAAAAACTAGAAAAAGAAGAGTAAACCAAACCCAAAGAAAATGAAACAAACTGTAAAGATTAGAAGGATATAAGTTTTTAAAAAGAATAGAAAATGATCAACAAAGTCGACAAAACTAAAAGTTCTATGAAAAAATAAAATTAACAAACTTTTAGCTAGACTAACCAAGAAAATGAGGGAAAACTCAAATTACTACAATCAAGCATGAGAGTAGAGACATTACTGCTGACCTTAGATTCAAATTACTACAATCAGGAATTAAAGTAATGTGTTCGAAAACACCTCCATTTTGAGTTCAAACTTTGGTGCTTCAGCATCTTCCTCACTGCTCTAATTGTGAACCCACACCCACTGATGCTCTTTGAAAACAAACCCAACTGCTGTACTCTATTCTCCTTTCTTCATGTGCTTGGCTTCCTTTCAAACCACCCAGTGAAATTCCCTGGTTTTGATAAATCTCAACCACACCCCAGATTACTCCAATAAAGATTTTGGCCCACAAGTGCTCTCTCACTCACTCTCTCTGTCTCTTTGTCTCTCTCTCTCTCTCTCTCTCTCTCTCTCTCCTCCACCCATTTTGTTGACCACACTAGTGGTTGTATTCCTGTGTAGCTCTGCATCCTATGCAGTCACTCCCTCCCTGGGAGTGTAATAACCTTCTTTCCTTCAAGACCGGTTCTCATTTCCTCCTGTGGTCACACCAGCTTTACCATACCATATCCAACATATACATTTAAACAAGTGGGAACATCATGCTATCCTTTCAAAAATAAAAAGGATTATAAAGAAATATTATAAGTAATTGTATGCCAAATAATTTGAGAATTTAGATGAAATGGACGTATATCTGGAAAGAAAAACTAATGAAACTGACTCAAGCATAAACAGAAAATCTATATAGACCTATAACAGGTAAAGACACTAAATTAGTAATTTTTTAAATTTCCTCTCAGAAAAGCCCAGATGGCTTTCTTAGTGAATTCTATCAAATAGTAAAAGAATAATTAATAATAATTCTTTGCAAACCCTTCTGAATAAGATGAAATAATACTTTTCATCTCATTTCATTATTACACTGATATCAAAACCAAATAAAGATATCACAAGAAAACTATAGACTAATACATTTTATCATTATACATGCAAAAATTCTCAACAAAATACTAGAAAACTAAATCCAGCAAATATATAAAGAATTATACACTATGATCAAGTGGGATTTATACCAGGCATTTAATATCAGTTTAACATCCAAAAACTAATAAATATAATGCCATATTAATAGAATAAAGAACAAAAAACACATGATCATCTCAATAGACACAAAAAAGGTTTGACAAAATTCAATATATTTTCATATAAAATTAATCAATAAACTAGGAATGGAAGTAAATTTTGTTAAGCTGATAAAGGGCATCTATAAAAAGCCCATAGATAACATCCTACTTAAATGTTATAGACTGAATGCTTCCTAAGATTTGGAATAAGACACAAATGTTCACTATTACCACTTCAATTCATTACTGTTCTGGAGGTTCTAGCCAGGCCCCCCCCCCCCCCCACAAAAAAAAAAAAAAAAGAAGAAGAAGTAAGTAGTATCTAGATTGGAAAGAAAGAATTAAAATTATCTCTATTTGTAGAGGACATGATCTTATACATAGAAAACTCTATGGAATGCACAAAAAATTACTAGAATTAATAAATCGGTTCAGCAATGTTATAGGATATGAAGTCGGTATTTAAAAATCAACTGTATCTATAAATTACTTCGGGCAGTGTAGTCATTTTCACAATATTGATTCTTCCTATCCATGAACATGGAATGTTTTTCCATTTGTTTGTGTCCTCTCTGATTTCCTTAAGCAGTGGTTTACAATTCTCCTTGAAGAAGTCCTTCACTTCCTTTATTGACAATCTTCACAGAATTAGAAAAAACCATTTTAAAATTCATATGGAACCAAAAAAGAGCCCAGATAGCCAAGATAGTCTGAAGCAAAAAGAACAAAGCTGGAGGCATCATGCTACCCAACCTCAAACTATACTAAAAGGCTACAGTAACCAACTGTAAACAGTATGGTACTGGTACCAAAAACAGACACATAGACCAATGGAACAGAATAGAGAACTCAGAAATAAGACTGCACATCTACAACCATCTGCTCTTTGATAAACCTGACAAAAACAAGCAATGGAGAAAGGATTTCCTAATTAATAAATGGTGCTGGGAGAACTGGCTAGCCATATACAGAAAATTGAAACTAGACCACTTTTTTACACCTTATACAAGAATTAACTCAGGATGGATTAAAGACTTAAATGTAAAACCCAAAGCTATAAAGACCCTACAAGAAAATCTAGGCAATATCATTCAGGACATAGGCATGAGCAACGATTTCATGATGAAAACACCAAAAGCAATTGCAACAAAAGCAAAAATTGACAAATGGGATCTAATTAAACGAAAGAGCTTCTACACAACAAAAGAAACTATCATCGAAGTGAACAGACAACCTACAGAATGGGAGAAAATTTTTGCAATCTATCCATCTGACAAAGGTCTAATATCCAGAGTCTACAAGGAACTTAAACAAACTGACAAGAAAAAACATAAGCAACCCCATTAAAAAGTGGGCAATGAAATAGGAGGCAGGACTAGATTGCAACTCCCACTCGGACAGGAGAGCAGCGTGTGGAGACCCACATCGTGAACTTTTGCTCCAGAACTATTGTAGGAATATACCAGGAAAGCTGAGAGAATCCACAGACCCTCTGATGGAAGCAGATTGCTCCTGCAGGACCCAGAAGACACCCCCCAAACACTGTGAGTGTCCAAGCTGTGAAAGTGGGAAAGGGGGATCATTGCCCCTGGACACACACCTTCACTGGGGAACCTAAAGGTCTAGACCTTACCTGGAGCTGGGTCAAATTACAGAGCCTAGAGAAATACAGGAGTAGACGAAGCAGCAGGAAAAGCCCTCTGGGCTCTCTAGGTACCCTGGGAAGCTGTTTCTGCCTTGTCTCACAGAGATCTTTGGGGAGGGCTGCCAGAGGAACTGAGAAAAGACCACAGGGAAAAGGAAACCTCCAGCTGAACTTTGTGATAATTCCAACTGAATGTGAAGTCTCTTGGCCAGAACATGGGGTGGGGGTGTGAATTCGGTGTGCAGACTCAACAGATGGAGAGGCACAAAAGGCCTGCTTGCTTTCTCAGGGGATAGGTGGTAGCCAAGGGCAGATTCTCAGCCCTGCTCACCCACTGCCTAGAAACAAACTCGGTGCTGCTGGGGGTGGTGGACATGTTGGGAGTGAGACTAGCCTTTTGGTTTGCTTGGGAACTGGGTGAGGCCTGTAACTGCCGGCTCTCCCCGACATCCCTGACAACCTGCATGACACAACAGAGGCAGCCATAATCCTTCTGGGAACATAACTCCATTGACCTGGAAACCACACCTCTAGCCAACACAGCAGCCACAGCAAGCCCCTCCCAAGGAGAGCCTGAGCTCAGACATGCCTAACCCTGCCCCCATCTGATGGTCCTTCCCTACCCACCCTGGTAACTGAAGACAAAGGGCATATTCTCTTGGGAGTTCTAAGGCCCCACTCACCTCGTGATCCTCCCTACACACTACAGCTGGTGCCGTCTTGAAAGTGTCACCTCCTGGCAGGAGATCACAAAAACAGTGCATTAAACAACCAAAACTAGGACCCTCACAGAGTCCTTTTCACTCCCCTGCCACCTCCACTGGAGCAGGTGCTGGTACCCGTGACAGAGATCTGAAGACAGTTCACATCAAAGGACTCTGTGCAGACAGCCCCCAGTACGAGCCTGGAGCCTGGTAGCCCTGCTGGGTGGCTAGATCCAGAAGAGCAGTAACAATCACTACATCTGGGCTTTCAGGAAGCCACATCCCTAGGAAAAGAGGGAGTAACTACATCAAGGGAACACTCCATGAGACAACTGAATCTGAATAGTTGCCTTGAGCCCCAGATCTTCCCTCTGACATAGCCTACCCAAATGAGAAAGAACCAGAAAAACAATTCTGGTAATATGACAAAACATGTTTCTTTAGCACTCCCCAAAAATCACACTAGCTCACCAGCAATGGATCCAAAACAAGAAGAAATCCCTGATTTACCTAAAAAAGGGTTCAGAAGGTTGATTATTAAGCAAATCAAGGAGGCACAAGAGAAACGTGAAGTCTAATTTAAGGAAATAAAAAAAATGATAAAAGAAACAAGGTGAGAAAACTTCAGTGAAATAGACAGCATAAATCAAAGACAATCACAATTTCAGGAAATAAAGGACACAAAGAAATGCAAAATGTTCTAGAAAGTCTCAGCAACTGAATCAAACAAGCAGAAGAAAGAACTTCAGAGCTCAAAGACAAGGTTTTTGAATTAACCCAGTCCAACAAAGACAAAGAAAAAAAGAATTAAAGAATGAACAAAATCTCCAAGAAATTTGGGATTATGTTAAGTGACCAAACCTAAGAATAATTGGTGTTCCTGAGGAAGAAGAAAAATCTAAAAGTATGGAAAACATATTCAGGGTGAATAATCAAGGAAAACTTGCTAGAGACCTAGACATCCAAATACAAGAAGCTCAAAGAAAACCTGGGAAATTCATCGCAAAAAGATTATTGCCTAGGCAAATTGTCATCAGGTTATCTAAAGTTAAGACAAAGGAAAGAATTGGTAACCTGTAAAGGAAAACCTATCAGATTCATAGCATATTTCTCAGCAGAAACCCTGCAAGCCAGAAGCACTGTGGCCCTAACTCAGCCTCCTTAAACAAAACAATTATCAGCCAAGATTTTTGTATCCAGCAAGACTAAGCTTCATCAATGAAAGAAAGAACAGTCTTTTTCAGATAAACAAATGTTGAGAGAATTCAGCACTGCCAAGCCAGCACTACAAGAACTGCTAAAAGGAGCTCATAATCTTGAAACAAATACTGGAAACACATTGAAACAGAACCTGCTTAAAGCATAAATCTCACAGGACCTATAAAACAAAAATAAAAATAAAAAAACCCAGGGTATACAGGCAACAAATAGCAGGATGAATGGAATAGTAGTACCTCACATCTCAATACTAATGTTGAATGTAAATGACCTAAATGCTCCACTTAAAAGATATAGAATTGCAGAAGGATTAAGAATTCACCAACCAAGTATTTGCTGCCTTCAGGAGATTCACCTAATATATAAGGACTCACATAAACTTAAGGTAAAGGGATGGAAAAAGATATTCCATGTAAATGGGCACCAAAAGCAAGCAGGAGTAGCTATTCTTATATCAGACAAAACAATCTTTAAAGCAACAGCATTTAAAAAAGACAAAGAGGGATATTATATAATGTTAAAAGGCTTGGTCCAACAGGAAAATATCACAGTCCTATATATATATGCACCTAACACTGGAACTCCCAAATTTATAAACAATTACTGCTAGACCTAAGTAATTAGATAGACAGCAACACAATAATAGTCAAAGACTTCACTACTCCACTGACAGCACTAGACAGGTCATCAAGACAGAGAGTCAACAAAGAAACAATAGATTTAAACTATGCCTTGGAACAAGTGAACTTAGATATTTACAGAACATTCTACCCCACAACCACAGAATATACATTCTATTCACCAGCACATGGAACTTTCTCCAAGATAGACCATATGATAGGCCACAAAACAAGTGTCAATAAATTTAATTGAAGTTATATCAAGTACTTTGTCAGACCACAGTGAAATAAAACTGTAAATCAACTCCAAAAAGAACCTTCAAAACCATGCAAATACATGGAAATTAAATAACCTGCTCCTGAATAATCATTAGGTCAACAATGAAATCAAGATAGAAATTTAGAAATTCTTTGAACTGAACAATATTAGTGACACAACCTATCAAAACTTCTGGGATTCAAAAAAGGCAGTGCTAAAAGGAAAGTTCATAGTCTTAAATGCCTACATCAGAAAGTCTGAAAGAGCACAAATAGACAATCTAAGATCACACCTCAAGGAACTAGAGAAACATGAACAAACCAAACCCAAACCCAGCAGAGGAAAAGAAATAACCAAGATCGGAGAAGAATTAAGTGAAATTGAAATGACAACAACAACAAAATACAAAAGAGAAATGAAGCAAAAAGCTGGTTCTTTGAAAACATAAAATTAATAGACCATTAGCAAGATTAACCAAGAAAAGAAGAGAGAAGATCCAAATAAGCTCAATTAGAAATGAAACAGGAGATATTACAATTGCCACCTCAGAAATACAAAAGATCATTCAAGGTTACTATGAACACCTTTACATGCATAAACTAGAAAACCTAGAGGAGATGGATAAATTCCTGGAAAGATACAACCCTCCTAGCATAAATCAGGAAGAATTAGATACCCTGAACAGGCCAATAACAAATAGCAAGACTGAAATGGTAATTTAAAAAATTAACAACAGAAAACAGCCCAGGACCAGAAGGATTCACAGCTGAATTCTACCAGACATTCAAAGAAGAATTGGTATTAATCCTGTTGACACTATTCCACAAGATAGAGGAAATCCTCCCTAAATCATTCTATGAAGCCAGTATCACCCTAATACAAAACCAGGAAAGGACATAACCAAAAAAGAAAACTACAGACCAATATCCCTGACGAACATAGATGCAAAAATCCTTAACAAAATACTAGCTAACCAAATCCAACAGCGTATCAGAAAGATAATCCACCATGATCAAGTAGATTTCATACCAAAGATGCAGGGATGGTTTAACATATGCAAGTCAATAAATGTGGTACACCACATAAAGAGAATTAGAAACAAAAATCTCATGATCATCTCAATAGATGCAGAAAAAGTATCTGAAAAAAGCCAGCATCCTTTATGATTTAAACCCTCAGCAAAATTGGCATAAAAGGGACATGTCTCAATGTGATAAAAGCCATCTGTGATAAACCCACAGCCAACATAATACTGAATGGGGAAAAGTTGAAAGAATTCCCTCTAAGAACTGGAACAAGACAAGGATGCCCACTCTCACCACTAGTCTTCAACATATTCCTGGAAATCCTAGCCAGAGCAATCAGACAAGAGAAAGAAATAAAGGTCATCCAAATCAGTAAAGAGGAAGTCAAACTGTCACTATTTGCTGATGATATGATAGTATACCTAGAAAACCCTAAAGACTCCTCCAAAAAGCTCCTAAAGCTGATAAATAAATTCAGCAAAGTTTCAGGATACAAAATTAATGTACACACATCAGTAGCTCTGCTATACACCAACAGTGACCAAGCTGAGAATCAAATCAAGAACTCAACCACTTTTACAATAGCTGCAGAAAACAATAAAATACTTAGGAATATACCTAACCAAGGAGGTGAAAGACCTCTACAACGAAAACTACAAAACCCTGCTTAAAGAAATTATCAATGTCACAAACAAATGGAAACAAATCCCATGATCATGGATAAGTAGAATCAATATTGTAAAAATGACCATACTGCCAAAAGCAATGTACAAATTCAATGCAATTTCCACCAAAATACCACTATTATTCTTCACAGAACTTGAAAAAAATTCTAAAATTCATATAAAACCAGAAAAGAGCCCACATAGCCAAAGCAAGACTAAACAAAAAGAACAAATCTGGAGGCATCACATTACCTGATTTCAAACTGTACTATAAGGCCACAGTCACCAAAACAGCCTGGTACTGGTATAAAAATAGGCACATAGGCCAATGGAACAGAATAGAGAACCCAGAAATAAACCCAAATATTTACAGCCAACTGATCTTTAATAAAGCAAACAAAAACATAAAGTGGGGAAAGGACACCCTATTCAACAAATGGTGCTGGAATAATTGGCTAGCCACATGTAGGAGAATGAAACTGGATCCTTATTTTTCACCTTATACAAAAGTCAACTCAAAGTGTATCAAGGACTTAAATCTAAGATGTGAAACCACAAAAATTCTAGAAGGTAACATCGTAAAAACCCTTCTAGACACTGGCTTAGGCAAAGACTTCATAACTAAGAACCCAAAAGCAAATGCAACAAAAACAAAGATAAATAGATGGGAATTAATTAAACTAAAAAGCTTTTTGCAGGGCAAAAGGAACAGTCAGCAAAGTAAACACACAACCCACAGAGTGGGAGAAAATCTTCACAATCTATACATCTGACAAAGGACTAATATCCAGACTGTACAATGAACTCAAAAAAATCAGTAAGAAAAAAGCAAACAATCACATCAAAAAGTGGGCTAAGGACATGAATAGACAATTTTCAAAAGAATATAAACAAATGGCCAACAAACATATGATAAAATGCTCAACATCACTAATGATCAGGGAAATGCAAATCAAAACCATAATGTGATACCACCTTACCACTGGCAAGAATGACTATTATCAGAAAATCAAAAAATAATAGATGTTGGCATGGATGCGGTGAAAAGGGAACACTTCTACACTGCTGGTAGGAATGTAAACTAGTACAACCACTATGGAAAACAGTGTGGAGATTCCTTAAAGAACTAAAAGTAGATCTACCATTTGATCCAGCAATCTCACTACTGGGTATCTATTCAAAGAAAAAGAAATCAGTATACAAAAAAGATACTTGCACACACATGTTTACAGCAGCACAATTCACAATTGCAAAAATGTGGAGCCAGCCCAAATCCCCATCAATCGATGAGTGGATAAAGACACTGTGGTGTGTATATATGAGGGAATACTACTCAGCCACAAAAGGGAATGAATTAATGACATTTGCAGCAACCTGGATGGGATTGGAGACTGTCATTCTAAGTGAAATAACTCAGGAATAGAAAAGCAAACATTGTATGTTCTCACTTACAAGTGGGAGCTCAGCTATGAAGACGCAAAAGCATAAGAATGATACAACGGACTTTAGAGACTCGAAAAAAAGTATGGGAATGGGGTGAGGGATAAAAGACTACACACTGGGTACAGCGTATACTGCTCAGGTGGTGGGTGCACCAAAATCTCACAAATCACCGCTAAACAAGTTATTAATGTAACAAAAAACCGCCTATTCCCCAAAAACCTATGGAAATAAAAAATTTAAAGATAAATAAAGTTGAAGTAATAATTTTTTAAAAAGTGGGCAAAGGACATAAACAGACACTTCTCCAAAGAAGACATACATGTGGCCAATGAACATGAAACAAAGCTCAACACCACTGATCATTAGAGAAATGCAAATCAAAACCACAATGAGATACTATCTCACACCAGTCAGAATGGTAATTATTAAAAAGTCAAGAAACAACAGATGCTGGCAAAGTTGCAGATAAATAGGAACACTTACACTGTTAGTGGAAATGTAAATCATTTCAATCACTGTGGAAGACGGTGTGACAACTCTTCAAAAATCTAGAACCAGAAATATCATTTGACCCAGCAATGCTATTACTGAATATATATCCAAAGGAATATAAATTATTCTAGCATAAAGACACACATGCATGTGTATGTTCACTGCAGCACTATTCACAATAGCAAAGACGTGGAATCAACCCAAATGCCCATCAGTGATAGACTGGATAAAGAAAATGTGGTACATATACATCATGGAATACTATGCAGCCATAAAAATGAATGAAATCATGTCCTTTTCAGAGACATGCATGGAGATGGAAGCCATTATCCTCAGCAAACTAACACAAGAACAGAAAACCAAACACCACACGTTCTCACTTATAAGTGGAAGCTGAACAATGAGAACACATGGACATAGGGAGGGATATAACACACACCGGGGCCTGTCGGTAGAGGGTCAGGGAGAGGGAGAATATCAGGAAAAATAGCTAATGCATGTTGGGCATAATACCTAGGTGACGGGTTGATGGATGCAGCAAGCCACCATGGCACACGTTTACCTATGTAACAAACCTCCACATCCCGCACATGCACCACAGAACTTAAAATTTTAAAATGTTTTAAAATGTTTAAAAAAAAATTTGATCCCAATGTTGGAGTTGGGGGCCTAATGGGAGGTGTTTGGGTCACGAGGGCAGATCCCTCATCAGTGGCTCGGCGCCATCATCACAGTAATGAGTGAGTTCTTGCCCTATTAGTTCCCATGAAAGCCTGCTATTAAGACGAGTCTGACATGTCCTCCCTCCCTTTCTCTCTCTGGCTTCCTCTCTCACCACTAACGTCTGCACATGCTGGCTTCCCTTCCCCTTCCACCAGGAGTGCAAGCAACCTGAAGCCCTCACCAGAAGCAAATGCTGGTTCCATGCTTCTTGTACAGCCTGCAGAACTGTGAGCCAAATAAACCTCTTTCTGTATAAGAAAATAAAAATCAATTGTGCTTCTATACACTAACAGTGAACAATCTCAAATTTAAATTAGGAAAATAGTTTCATTTTAATAGCACCAAAAAAAGAGTAAAATACTTTGGAATAAAATTAATCAAAAAAGTGCAAGACTTGTACGCTGAAAGCTACAAAATATTTTTAAAATAAACTAAAGATCTAAATAAATTGAAAGATATTCTGTGATCATGCCTTGAAAGAGTTAACATTAACATGACAATATTCCCAAATTCACGTACAGATTTAATCACTGTCAAAATCCTAGCTGCCTTTTTTTTTATAGAAACTGACCATCTGATTCTAAAATTCATATGGAAATATAATTACAATATCCCCAATATAAGCAAAACAGTGTTTAAAAATAACAGTTGGAGGACTCACACTTCCTGATTTCAAAACCTATTACAGGGCTGTGCATGGTGGCTCACGCCTGTAATCCCAGCACCATGGCAGGCTGAGGCAGGCAGATCGCTTGAGACCAGGAGTTTGAGACCAGTCTGGGCAAAATAGTGAAACCCCATCTCTATAAAAAGTACAAAAAATTAGCCGGGCATAGTGATGCACGTACCTGTAGTCCCAGCTACTCAGGAGGCTAAGGTGGGAAAATCAACTGAGCTCAGGTATTCGAGGCTGCAGTGAGCAGTGATCACACCACCACACTCCAGCCTGGATGAAAGAGTGAGACCCTGTCTCAAAAAATAAAAATAAAAAAATAAAACTATTACAAAGCTACAGTAAGCAAGACTGCATGGTCCTAGCATAGGGATAGATATATAGATCTATGGGATAGAACCAAGAATCCAGAAACAAAGCCTCACATTTACGATTGATTGATTTTTAACAAGGGTTAGAGGACAATTAAATGGAGAAAGAATAGTCTCTTCAATAAATGATACTAGGAAAACTGTATATATACATACAAAAGAATACATTTGGACTCTACCTCACAACGCATACAAAAATTAACTCAAGATGGACCAAAGTCCTAAATGTAGAGCTAAAACTACAAAACTCTTAGAAGAAAACATAGGTGCAATTCTTTGTGACCTTAGATTAGACAATAGTTTCTTAGATATAACACCAAAAGCATAAGCAACCAAAGAAAATTAGATAAGCTAAACTTCATCAAAATTAAAAACTTGTGCACCAAAGAACGCTATCAAGAAAGTGAAAAGAGAATCCACAAAATGGCAGAAAGCATTTTTAATTATATATTTGACAAGGATTTATATCCAGAATACACAAAGAAATTTCACAACAAAAAGACAGATAACCTAATTTTAAAATGGGCAAGGGGTATGAATAGATAATTCTCCAAAAATATAAATATGGTCAATAAGCCCATAAAAGAGTGCTTAATATTGTCAGCTATCAGGAAATGCAAATTGCAACCACAACGAGATACCACTTCACACTTTCTAGGCTATAATAAAAAAAAAACAGATAATAACAAGATTTGGTGAGGATGTGTAAAATCAAAATTCTCATACTGGTGGGAGTGTGAAAACAGTTTGCAAGTTTATCAAAATATTAAACATGGAGTTATCACATTATTCAGAAATTCTATTCTTAGCAATACACTCAAGATAAAGAAAATGTATGTCCACACAAACACTTGCACGCAAGTGTTGATAGGAGCATTATTCGTAATAGCCAAAATCAATCTAAATGGCCATAAAGTGATGAATGGATTAAAAATATGGTATATCCATGCAATCAAATACTGTTTGGCAATAAAACAGAATTAAGTGTTGACACAGCCAACTACAGGATGAATCTTTAAAACATCATAATAAGTAAAAGAAGCCAGTCACAAAAGATCACATATTATGTGACTGTTCATATAGGAAATATCCAGAATGCGTAAATCTATAGAGATAGGAAACGGTTGCCTAGGTGTTAGGTGAGAAGGGAGGGTGAGGGGTGACTGCTAATGTGTACAGTAACCTTGGGGGAGTAAAACTATTCTAAACTTAGATTTGGGGGCTGGTTGCACAATTCTGTGAATATCCTTAAAATCAAAGACTTGTACACTTTAAATGGGTGGACTTTACGGTCTGTGAATTATATCTTAATAAAGACATTTCAGAAAAGATTGCCTTTAAAAACGTGTCTTTTGCTAGATTCACTCTAGAGTCATTGTGCATGTGGTTTAGGATGCTGTGAAGACTTCCTTCAAACCCTCAGAGGAACAGTGAGAGGATTAAAGAAAATAAAGAGAGAAATGGAGGTGAGATGGGGGGGAAAGGAGAGAAGGAAGTGGGAAGATGGCTGGGGGTGGGTGGGGGAAGCCACGGTAGATTGGTAAGTTACTTTAAGATAACAATTGTTTTCCATAAATTCACATGACAATGGTTACTAACGACAGCACACTGCCCCTTGGCATTATCTACACTGCAGGAAAACAATACAATGTTTTTTGCTGTAGGGTTGCCAAATAAAACATAAGATGCCTAGTTAAATTTGACTTCTGCATAAACAACAAATAAATGTTAGCATAGGCATGCCCAAAATATGGCATGGGAAAGACTGACAATAAAAATATATTTGTTATTGATCTGAAATTCACATTTAACTGGGTGGCCTGTATTTTTATTTGCTATACCTGGCAAAGTTGGGCAAGTTTGAATAACTTGGGGCTGTAGGGTGGTTTCTGGTTGCCTGATACCTGGCCCTGGGTGATTTAGGGCAGGTGGAAAAATGGCTTGGTGTATGAAAGTTTGGTAAGGAGGCAGTTGGGTTGGTTGGTTTGCATAGGAAAGTCATGATCTGGGACCAAGCCTCTGTTACTTGTAAAAAATGGCTACTCCTGGGAGAGGCAGTCTCTTCCTTGGTCTGTAAGATTTTTAAGATATCAAACATCATAAGATACAGAAAATTGAAAACATGATTAATACACTGGGTCTCCAGTTCCTTAAAAACTTAAAAGTAGAACTACCATATGATCTAGCAATCCTAGTTCTGGGTACGTATCCAAAAAAAATTGAAATCAGAATCTTGAAGAGATACTTGCACTCCTGTGCTCATTGCAGCATTATTCACAAGAGTCAAAATGTAGCAACAACATAAATGTTCATTAATAGATAATTAGATCAAGAAAGTATGGCATATGGATGCAATGGAATATTATTCAGCCTTTAAGAAGAAGGAAATCCTGCCACTTGCAACAAGATGAATGAACCTTGAAGACATTATACTAAGTGAAATAAACCAGTCACAGAAGGACAAATACTGCATGATTCCATTTGTATGACATATCTAAAATAGTCAAACTTAAAGAAGCAGAGAGTAGAATGGTGGCTGCCAACGCTATGGGACAGGAAAAAGAGGAATTGTGGACTAAGGTGTATAAAGTTTTAGTTATACAAGATGAATAAGTCCTGGAGCTCTAAGGTACACCAGTGCACCTATTGTTAACAGTACTTAAAAAGGTGGTTAAGAGAAATGGTCTCAGGTTAAGTGTCCTTACCACAAAAGGGGAGGTGGGGGCAGGAAGAAACTTTAGAGGTGATGGACATTTTTATTACTTTGATTGTAATGATGGTTTCCCAAGTGTATGCATATATTCAAACCCATCAAATTGCATACATTAAATATGAAAAGTTTTTCATATATCGATCACACCTCAATAAAGCTATTTTTAAAATACGCTGGGCCTCAAGAAAAGAGTAGGCTATCGGACTCTGGAGGAAGAATAATCACCAGAATCCTAGAAAAAGGAATAGGTTTTTCAAGCAAGCCTGCCATAACAGCATTATTATAAGCACTTCGAGAGGAAGAGTGAAGACAGTGGCGTTGGGGGAAGTCAGGCGTGTCCCAGCTGAGAAAGTGAGCCTGGAGACGGAACAGCAAGACATGGGTACATGAAACAGGGCAAGCACATAGGAGGTTACCTGAGAAAGTGTCTAGATAAAGTCAAAGACAGCTTCTAGGAAGAGGAGGAACTGGGACCAGGGAGACCCCATCAGGACTGGGACATGAGAGATGGCAGAGGAACAGTTATGCACACATGGGCAGCGAGAGGCAATTCGGCCACAGCCTTTCCATCTGTGCAGCACTCTGACTTTCAGCGGCTCTTGCATGGTAGGCAGGGCCTGATCCCATCATGTTCCACGTGTTCGGATCAGCAGGACTGCTGGGAACAGTTGTGCAGATTGTACAAAGCACGGTGCTGAGGACCAGGGTTCACATCACGGGGCACTGTCTGCAGCCTTGCACAGTCTGATGTACAATGCTGCAAATCAGAGAACCCAGTGAGGGCTTCAATTACAGTTAGTGACCAAGAAAAGATCAGCAATGGGAGTATAAGCCAGTGAAAACTTTCTGGAAGAAAACATAGCCATAGGTGAACAAAAATGTTAAACCTTTGGAGCCAGCAATTCCTCTGCCTCTGGGAATTTAGCTTTACAAAATAACCATGGACATGCACGGAGAGTTGGTACAAAGGACAGTCGTGGCTCAGTGCTCCTTGTAAGAAACAACCTTCAGATCCTAAATCTGGGTATTGGTTAAAATCATTCTAAATGTTTTAGACAGAGGACATGCATTACAAGAAATTGGTTTCCAGCAAGTCCATCTCTAGGTAATTTATCAGGGAATGGTGAGGCAACCCAAGGCTAGCAACAGCAGGCAAAGCCCACAGTTCCATGGTAGTGGGCTGTTCTGGGAGACCAGGAGGTGGGGCAGAACCAGACCTCAGAGCAGGTGCCACTGCCTGTGCCAAGGTGAGGGAGAATAATACCTTGCAGCCTGCCTTCCTCCTGCCCTCCAGTCTTACCCCGTGTCTCCCGGTGGCCTAACCAGGATGGAGATCAATGCTAAAGGCATCCTGAAAACTGTGGTCCCCATGACACAGAGCGCATTAGAAGGGAGGGAAGAAGGTGAGGGCAGATGGAGAACCGCGTGAGAGGATTGCATTTATATACAGTCTGCATGTGGGGAGAGATAATAAGCAAAATATGCCTCTCTCTAGCTATTGAGATTATGTGTGGGATCGTATTCTTGTCTATGTTTACCAAGTTATCTACATAAACAAGTGAAGTGGATGCAGGGAGTGCTGGCCAGCAACCATCCCAGCTGACGGAGATGCTCACTCCTGGGAGGCCAGATAGAGTTGCTCTTCAAACCCTCTGCCCTTGGCTGGAGACAGCCACCAGCCCAATGCCATGAGGGTGGGGGGTGGTATTCCATGCCCGATTTTTGAAGGAAAATTAAGGCCTGCCTTCACCCCATTTCACAGTAACGCCAAGGGCCATCCCAGACCAAGAGCTGCCCTTAGAATCAGGGAAGACAACCAGTACTGCCAGGAGTGGGGCGAGTGCAGGTGGGAACACTCCAGAGGGTGCTGGATCCAGAAAGCAGCGTGTGTTTGTTGTGATAGAAATGATTTCCCATGGCAAGGGACAAACACCAAACGTGGCAAGGGACAAACAACAAACGTAGCAAGGGACAAACACCAAACGATATCATACTGTCCACCAGTGGTCACTGATTTTCTAAAAGCAGCTTTTGCTACATGAGGCTATTGTTCCAGGTACCAGGCTCCGGTGATCTTCCCCTCCCCTCCCTGCTCTGACCTAAGGTTGGTGACAGCTCTTTCCATTGCTGCCCTTTTTAATCAGCCCAGAACTTTGTAAATAGTCCCATTATCAAATCCCCCTCAAATCATCCTGCTTCCAGTCTGTCACCTGTTTCCTGTGGGAAACCTGACTGATGCAGCAGCCCACACCACCCCCTAGACAGTGGCTTTCAGTGAACTTCCAAATTAGTGGGCATGGGCGTGGGCAGAGCCAGCAACGGAACCAGCCTTGTGCTGTCATTCACCCATCTCCCTTCTCACTCGTCCTGAAGTTCTAGCCATCTTTTCTCGTGCTGCAGGAGCTTCATGCCCTAAAGTCCCAGTGATTACAAAGAAAGGTCTTTGTAGTGGGATTGATTGGAAGTCATTAATCCAGTTTCATGTAAGAGAATACCAATAACACCATATAAAGCATTATTTTTAATTAACAAAAGCAATTAGCACTAATTTAAAAGCTCTCACATTTGTCAAAGAGCCCATTTCACCTTAATTGCTAGGTGTGTCAAATAGGCAATTAAAAACAAATTAAAATGAAGACCATAGATAAAAGGGGGCAGGCAAACACATCTGTGATAGTGAGCAGGCAGAAATGCTCCTCTGCTTCAAAAGGCAAAACTGCACTTCACAGCCATGATACCGACCCCTGTCCTGGGATGCTTAAGAAGACACTATCGTAGATATGTATTAAGGAATTCACTTAAAAAACAAAGTAAGCAAACTTGAATTCCGGCACAGAAAGGTAGAATTCTTTCTGGAATTTCACACAAATCTCACCTGAGTACTTCATGTCTCCTTTGCAAGTTCTACAAGGAATATGGAAACCATTCTGCCCGCCAGCTGCTTAGAGAGATGCTGTCGTGTAAGGCGCTGTTTTAAGTGCTCAAGTAGATGGAAAAGATGTTAAATATAGTAAACACACTCAGGAAAAGAGCTCGTTAGAGGGTGTCATAATCAGACAGGGTTTAATGAGAGAAGTAGAATTTAAGTCACACTTTGAAATAGGAGTTGGAAATATTTTAAATAAGAAAGAAAAAACAAGAGCATTCAAACAATATCATATCATCTACCGAGTGGTCACTGATTTTCTAAAAGCAGCTTTTAGGCAAGAAGAATAGCCTAACAAAGGCTCAGAGGTTGGAACTGAAACCAACTGGTCTTGGATGCATTCTATGTACTTACTAACTGCTAAGATGTGTTTACATATATTTGTAAAATGCGTTGGTTTGAAGTATGTCTTTTGGAGTGAGTTGTGCCCTAGGAGACCAAGTGAGTATTTTTCAACCGGGTAAGTTATATGATAATCCTGGCATGCTACCCCAATGACTCAGTGATGGGCTGGCTGTTCTGTGAGCAGCAACAAGAAGAGAATTCTCTAATTCTCCAAGAGTCACCTGGCTGCCAGAGGACAAGGTGGGGGTCAGTGTTTAACTCTGGCCCTATTGCAAATATATGACCTTCTGTAAGTTACTTCTTCTCAAGGTAGTTCTGTCCATGGGAGGTGGGAGTGACACATTATCAGCTTAACCAAAGACATGAAGGTATGAACACGTAAAGTTCTTTCTAGGCCTCAACACAAGTGAATTAATAGATATTCAGTATTACTGAGTTGCTATAGCCTCACTGACAGAAGGACAAACTTTGGAGACATTATATGCTGTTTCAGTGGTTGGTTTATTGAAAGCAAAAACATTCAAGACTTCATTACTTTGAAAGCATTCATATTACAAAAGGTCTTGAGTTGATGTCACCATCCCACATGAAAAATTTCTACCCTCAGGGATTTCTGAATTTTTCAAGACCATTGCAATTAAAAGCAAATGTGAGGCACAGACATTTATTTGGGAGAAGGTAGGAGTTGGTGTGGGAATGAATAATAAAATGGTAGGTATCTCAAGATTCAAAGTCCAGATTTAACAATTTCTAACTCCAAATGATGGAACGAAGTCAATGCATTGCCAGATCACTTATAATCCTAAGGCAAACTCAGAGACCCAGGTGCATGGAAGAGGGAGCCGTACACAAATCTCAAAAAGCTGCCAAGCTTTGATCCCAGAAAATATACGTGTGTGTGTGTGTGTGTGTGTGTGTGTGTAACATCACATTCCAAGCTCAGGAGTGTCTTCTAGAGGTTGACATAAAGGACTTGCTAGATGATAGTACCAACCCCCAAAGGACATGTGGAAATCTTAGAGTACTGCTGTGGAGCAAATGCATGGGGGAAAACTTGATGTTAGGAGAGAGGGGGCAGAGATGCCTAACACTTTGAAATACACACGGTAGACCAACCCAATGAGAGTCGTCTTACCCAAAATGCAATAGCATCCCACTGACAAACACCAGGATGACCTTGCAGCCACTCCCACTTAACTCAGCCAAGTAGTCTCCTGGCCAAATGCTCTTCTTCCTGCTCGCTTGGACCTCAGTGAAGACAAAAGCTTTATCATCCAAGAAAGAGGACAGACAAGGGGGCCGCCCGATGGGTGTTGTTTTACTCACAATACCAGTTGTGACAAGTTTCTCTTAGCAGAGTTTCAGGAAACATAGGAAATATTATCAGAATTTTACACAACCCTTTTTAATCTAAGCCCAATCATCACACAAAACTCAGATCAGAGTTCCAAATCAATTGTTCCCAAACTGTATAGACTGTATTTAGGAGTCTGATGGCTAAAGGATAAATCGTTCCCCTTTGAGATCATGAAACCATTCTAAAAGTGACTGTGGCAATGGTGGCACATATTTGTGAATATCCTAAAAACCACTGAATGTTATGCCTTTAATGGGGAAACTGGGGGATATGTGAAATATATCTCAATAGAGCTGCTTTTACAGTGGAGGGAAATTTAAGACATTTCCCCCAAAAAGAAAGTTAATGAGTTTGTTGCTATCAGATCAGCCCTTCAAGAAATACTAATGGGAGTCCTTTAGTCTGAAAGAAAAGGACACTAACAGTAACGTGAGTCCACACAAAGAAATAAAGAGCACCAGTTAAGATAGCCACATGGGCCAGGCATGGTGGCTCATGCCTGTAATCCCAGCACTTTGGGAGGCCAAGGCAGGTGCATTATCTGAGGTCAAGAGTGTGAGACCAGCATGGTCAACATGGTAAAACCCATCCTCTACTAAAATACAAAATAAGCTGGGCATGGTGTTGTGCACCTGTAATCCCAGCTACTCAGGAGGCTGAGGCAGGAGAATCGCTTAAACCAGGAGGTGGAGGTTGCAGGGAGCACTCCAGCCTGGGTGACAAAAATGAGACTCAGTCTCAAAAACAAAAAAGATGGCCACAGGAGTGAACATAAAAGTCGGTGTTAATGTAGTTTTTTGTTCACAATTCGTTTTTTAAAATCTATTTTAAAACCCAACTACATAATGCAATAATTATAAATCTAACTTGATAGGCACATGATATATTAAAGTGAAATTTGTGAAAATAATAGCATAAAAGGGGTACAGAGCTACATAGGAGTAAAGTTTTATGTCTATTGTAGTGAAATTGGTATTAACCTGAACTAGGTTTTTACAAATTAAGAGATTAATGATAACCCCCAGGACAATCACTAAGAAAATGCCTCAAAAAACATATATTAAAGGAAATGGTAATATAATTACAATTCTACACTGGAAAAATTCTACACTTGTTTTGTGTTTGTTTGTTTGTTTGTTTGTGACAGAGTCGCACTTTGTCACCCAGGCTGGAGTGCAGTGGCGGGATCTCGGCTCACTGCAACCTCCGCCTCCCGGGTTCAAGCAATTCTCCTGCCTCAGCCTCCCAAGTATCTGGGATCACAGGCACATGTGCCTGTGAAATTAGCCATGCCCAGCTAATTTTTTATATTTTTAGTAGAGACAGGGCTTCACCGTGTTATCCAGGATGGTCTCAATCTCCTGATCTCGTGATCCACCCACCTCAGCCTCCCAAAGTGCTGGAACTACAGGCATGAGCCACCGCACCCAGCTTACACTTGTTTATTTAACAAAAGAGAACGTAATATTGGGAGAATTGAATACCAAAAGAGATATACTACATTGAGAAAAAGTTAATATTAATTTCCAGAAAAGAAATAGAAAAAATTATTTAAAAGTTATATCCCTCAAAACATTAGGCCTAAATGATTTCACGGAGAAATCTATAAAAATACATTATCCTAATGCCTATTAAATTATTTTAGAGCACAACAGAAAAAGGAAGAAAACTCACAAATTCTTTAAGAATTGCATGTACCTTTGATATTTCATTCTCCTAAAGATTGAACCAAAACAAAATTCTACAGACCAATCTCATCTACAGCTATCAATGTAAAAATCTAAAATAAAATAATGGCAAAAAATCAATGACATTCCTAATATTAAGAAATCATGACTGGGGGGTGGTTCCAAGATGGCCGAATAGGAACAGCTCCAGTCTACAGCTCCCAGCGTGAGCGACGCAGAAGAGGGTGATTTCTGCATTTCCAACTGAGCTTTGAAGAGAGTAGTCATTCTCCCAGCACGGAGTTTGAGATCTGAGAACAGACAGACTGCCTCCTCAAGTGGATCCCTGAATCCCGAGTAGCCTAACTGCGAGGCACCCTCCAGTAGGGGCAGACTAACACCTCACATGGCCAGTACCCCTCTGAGATGAAGCTTCCAGAGGAACTATCAGGCAGCAACATTTGCTGTTCACCAATATTCGCTGTTTTGCAGCCTCCACTGCTGATACCCAGGCAAACAGGGTCTGGAGTGGACCTTTAGCAAACTCCAGCAGACCTGCAGCTGAGGATCCTGACTGTTAGAAGGAAAACGAACCAAGAGAAAGGACATCCACACCAAAACCCCATCTGTACGTCACCATCATCAAAGACCAAAGGTAGATAAAACCACAAAGATGGGGAAAAAACAGAGCAGAAAAGCTGAAAATTCTAAAAATCGAGCACCTCTCCCCCTCCAAAGGAACACAGCTCCCTGCCAGCGATGGAACAAAGCTGGTTGGAGAATGACTTTGACGAGTTGAGAGAAGAAGGCTTCAGATGATCAAACTTCTCCGAGCTAAAGGAGGAAGTTTGAACCCATCGCAAAGAAGCTAAAAACCTTGAAAAAAGATTAGACGAATGGCTAACTAGAATAACCAGCGTAGAGAAGTCCTTAAATGACCTGATGGAGCTGAAAACCATGGCAAGAGAACCACGTGATGAACGCACAAGCTTCAGTAGCCAACTTGATCAACTGGAAGAAAGGGTATCAGTGATGGAAGATCAAATGAATGAAATGAAGCAAGAAGAGAAGTTTAGAGAAAAAAAAGTAAAAAGAAATGAAAAAAGCCTCCAAGAAATATGGGACTATGTGAAAAGACCAAATCTACGTCTGATTGGTGTACCTGAAAGTGATGGGGAGAATGGAACCAAGTTGGAAAACACCCTGCAGGATATTATCCAGGAGAACTTCCCCAATCTAGCAAGGCAGGCCAACATTCAAATTCAGGAAATACAGAGAATGCCACAAAGATACTCCTCGAGAAGAGCAACTCCAAGACACATAATTGTCAGATTCACCAAAATTGAAATGAAGGAAAAAATGTTAAGGGCAGCCAGAGAGAAAGGTCGGGTTACCCACAAAGGGAAGCCCATCAGACTAACAGCAGATCTCTCAGCAGAAACTCTACAAGCCAGAAGAGAGTGGGGGCCAATATTCAACATTCTTAAAGAAAAGAATTTTCAACCCAGAATTTCATATCCAGCCAAACTAAGCTTCATAAGTGAAGGAGAAATAAAATACTGTACAGACAAGCAAATGCTGAGAGATTTTGTCACCACCAGGCCTGCCCTAGAAGAGCTCCTGAAGGAAGCACTAAACATGGAAAGGAACAACTGGTACCAGCCACTGCAAAAACATGCCAAATTGTAAAGACCATCAAGGCTAGGAAGAAACTGCATCAACTAACGAGCAAAATAACCAGCTAACATCATAATGACAGGATCAAATTCACACATAACAATATTAACCTTAAATGTAAATGGGCTAAATGCTCCAATTAAAAGACACAGACTGGCAAATTGGATAAAGAGTCAAGACCCATCAGTATGCTGTATTCAGGAGACCCATCTCACATGCAGAGACACACATAGGCTCAAAATAAAGGGATGGAGGAAGATCTACCAAGCAAATGGAAAACAAAAAAAAGGCAGGGGTTGCAATCCTAGTCTCTGATAAAAACAGACTTTAAACCAACAAAGATCAAAAGAGACAAACAAGGCCATTACATAATGGTGAAGGGATCAATTCAACAAGAACAGCTAACTATCCTAAATATATATGCACCCAATACAGGAGCACCCAGATTCATAAAGCAAGTCCTTAGAGACTTACAAAGAGACTTAGACTCCCACAAAATAATAATGGAAGACTCTAACACCGCACTGTCAACATTAGACAGATCAACGAGACAGAAAGCTAACAAGGATATCCAGGAATTGAACTCAGCTCTGCACCAAGCAGACCTAATCAACATCTACAGAACTCTCCACCCCAAATCAACAGAATATACATTCTTCTCAGCATCACATCACACTTATTCCAAAATTGACCACGTAGTTGGAAGTAAAGCACTCCCCAGCAAATGTAAAAGAACAGAAATTATAACAAACTGTCTCTCAGACCACAGTGCAATCAAACTAGAACTGAGAGTTAAGAAACTCACTCAAAACCGCTCAACTACATGGAAACTGAACAACCTGCTCCTGAATGACTACTGGGTACATAACAAAATGAAGGCAGAAATAAAGATGTTCTTTGAAACCAATGAGAACAAAGACATAACAAACCAGAATCTCTGGGACACATTTAAAGCAGTGTGTAGAGGGAAATTTATAGCACTAAATGCCCACAAGAGAAAGCAGGAAAGATCTAAAATTGACACCCTAACATCACAATTAAAAGAAGTAGAGAAGCAAGAGCAAACACACTCAAAAGCTAGCAGAAAGCAAGAAATAACTAAGATCAGAGCAGAACTGAAGGAAATAGAGACACAAAAAACCCTTCAAAAAAATCAATGAATCCAGGAGCTGGTTTTTTTTAAAAGATCAACAAAATTGATAGACCGCTAGCAAGATTAATAAAGAAGAAGAGAGAGAAGAATCAAATAGACACAATAAAAAATGATAAAGGGGATATCACCACCGATCCCACAGAAACACAAACTACCATCAGAGAATACTATAAACACCTCTATGCAAATAAACTAGAAAATCTAGAAGAAATGGATAAATTCCTTGACACACACACCCTCCCAAGACTAAACCAGGAAGAAGTTGAATCTCTGAATACACCAATAACAGGTTCTGAAATTGAGGCAATAATTAATAGCTTACCAACCAAAAAAGTCCAGGACCAGATGGATTCACAGCTGAATTCTACCAGAGGTACAAAGAGGAGCTGCTACCATTCCTTCTGAAACTATTCCAATCAATAGAAAAAGAGGGAATCCTCCCTAACTCATTTTATGAGCCCAGCATCATCCTGATATCAAAGCCTGGCAGAGACACAACAAAAAAAGAGAATTTTAGACCAATATCCCTGATGAACATCGATGCAAAAATCCTCAATAAAATACTGGCAAACTGAATCCAGCAGCACATCAAAAAGCTTATCCACCATGATCAAGTGGGCTTCCTCCCTGGGATGCAAGGCTGGTTCAACATACACAAATCAATAAATGTAATCCAGCATATAAACAGAACCAAAGACAAAAAGCACATGATTATCTCAATAGATGCAGAAAAGGCCTTTGACAAAATTCAACAGCCCTTCATGCTAAAAACTCTCAATGAATTAGTTATTGATGGGACGTATCTCAAAATAATAAGAGCTATTTATGACAAACCCACAGCCAATATCATACTGAATGGGCAAAAACTGGAAGCATTCCCTTTGAAAACTGGCACAAGACGGATGCCCTCTCTCACCACTCCTATCCAACATAGTGTTGGAAGTTCTGGCCAGGGCAATCAGGCAGGAGAAAGAAATAAAGGGTATTCAATTAGGAAAAGAGGAAGTCAAATTGTCCCTGTTTGCAGATAACATGACTGTATATCTAGAAAACCCCATTGTCTCAGCCTAAAATCTTCTTAAGCTGCTAAGCAACTTCAGCAAAGTCTCAGGATACAAAATCAATGTGCAAAAATCACAAGTATTCTTATACACCAATAACAGACAAACAGAGAGCCAAATCATGAGTGAACTCCCATTCACAATTGCTTCAAAGAGAATAAAATACCTAGGAACCCAACTTACAAGGGATGTGAAGGACCTCTTCAAGGAGAACTACAAACCACTGCTCAACGAAATAAAAGAGGACACAAACAAATGGAAGAACATTCCACGCTCATGGATAGGAAGAATCAATATCGTGAAAATGGCTGTACTGCCCGAGGTAATTTATAGATTCAATGCCATCCCCATCAAGCTACCAACGACTTTCTTCAAAGAATTGGAAAAAACTACTTTAAAGTTCATATGGAACCAAAAAAGGGCCTGCATTGCCAAGACAATCCTAAGCCAAAAGAACAAAGCTGGAGTCATCATGCTACCTGATTTCAAACTATACTACAAGGCTACAGTAACCAAAACAGCATGGTACTTGTACCAAAACAGAGACATAGACCAATGGAACAGAACGGAGCCCTCAGAAATAATACCACACATCTACAACCACCTGATCTTTGACAAACCTGACAAAAACAAGAAATGGGGAAACGATTCCCTATTTAATAAATGGTGCTGGGAAAACTGGCTAGCCATATGTAGAAAGCTGAAACTGGATCCCTTCCTTACACCTTACACAAAAATTAATTCAAGATGGATTAAAGACTTACATGTTAGACCTAAAACCATAAAAACCCTAGAAGAAAACCTAGGCAATACCATTCAGGACATAGGCATGGGCAAGGACTTCATGTCTAAAACACCAAAAGCAATGGCAACAAAAGTCAAAATTGACAAGTGGGATCTAATTAAACTAAAGAGCTTCTGCACAGCAAAAGAAACTACCATCAGAGTGAACAGGCAACCTACAGAATGGGAGAAAATTTTTGCAGTCTACTCATCGGACAAAGGGCTAATATCCAGAATCTACAATGAACTCAAACAAATTTACAAGAAAAAAACAACCCCATCAAAAAGTGGGCGAAGGATATGAACAGACACTTCTCAAAAGAAGACATTTATGCAGCCAGCAGACACATGAAAAAATGCTCATCATCACTGGTCATCAGAGAAATGCAAATCAAAACCACAATGAGATACCATCTCACACCAATTAGAATGGCGATCATTAAAAAGTCAGGAAACAACAGGTGCTGGAGAGGATGTGGAGAAATAGGAACACTTTTACACTGTTGGTGGGACTGTAAACTAGTTCAACCATTGTGGAAGACAGTGTGGCGATTTCTCAAGGATCTAGAACTAGAAATACCCTTTGACCCAGCCATCCCATTACTGGGTATATACCCAGAGGATTATAAATCATGCTGCTATAAAGACTCATGCACACGTATGTTTATTGCGGCACTACTCACAACAGCAAAGAGTTGGAACCAACCCAAATGTCCAACAATGATAGACTGGATTAAGAAAATGTGGCATATATACACCATGGAATACTATGCAGCCATAAAAAATGATGAGTTCATGTCCTTTGTAGGGACATGGATGAAGCTGGAAACCATCATTCTCAGCAAACTATCTCAAGGACGAAAAACCAAACACTGCATGTTCTCACTGATAGGTGGGAATTGAACAGTAAGAACACTTGGACACAGGAAGGGGAACATCACACACCAGGGCCTGTCGTGGAGTCGGGGGAGGGGGAAGGGATAGCATTAGGAGATATACCTAATGTAAATGACGAGTTAATGGGTGCAGCACACCAACATGGCAGATGTATACATAAGTAACAAACCTGCACGTTGTGCACGTGTACCCTAGAACTTTAAGTATAATAAAAAAAAGAAAGATAAAAAAAGAGAAATCATGACTATATAGGATATATTCCAGGAATGCAAGGATGGCTCTATAATGAGAAATCTGCATGTGTAATTCACCTTTCAAGATCTAAGAAGAAAAATATCATATGTTTATTTTTAATAGGTATAGAAAAGATCAAATGCCAACAAAAGCCCACAAAATCAACATTTAGTCCTGGTAAGTACATTAATAAAATAGGAATCAATAGATACTTCCTTCACATGGAAATGTGTATATACCTCAGTCCAAAACCAGCATCCTACATAATGCAGAAACACTAGGCACATCTCCCTTAACAGAGAGCGGAGGGAAAAGATGCTCATTATCTTCCCTATTATTTAACATTTAACTTTCTATTGGGTATTGTTATGGTTTGGATGTTTGTCCCCTCTAAATCTCATATTGAAATGTGATCCCATCGTTAAAGTTGGGGCCTAGTAGGAGGTGTTTGGGCCATCAGGTTGGATCCCTCGTGAATGGCTTGCTGTCCTCCCTGCCATAATGAGTTTACATTTTCCCATGCTATTTTTAGAATTATCAAGTCGACTCTTATTTTTAGTTTCTAGTATATGAGAAAAGTTGTTGCTTGAAAAGCATTTTTTCTTTTATTTTCATTTTAATGCAGAAAAACAATTCAACATTAACTCACAATCAGAAAAATGTTTTACGCAAACAGCATGAGGGAACTTGCTGGGAAATGAAAATATTCTAAGTCTAGCTGGTGGTGATGCCAGTACAATTCTATAAAGGTATTAAGAATCACTGAATTGTACATTTACAGTGGGCAAATTTTGTGATATGTAAATTACACTTCATTAAAGCTGTTTAAAAAAATTAACTTTAAAAAAATGTTTTAGCAAGAATAGAAGGAACTTCCCTAACCTGAAATCTCTGAAAAACATACTTATTGAGTATATCTCCATCAAATATCTCCAATAAAGTCCAGTAAAATACATTGGCAGTCTTTTATGCCAAGTCTTATGGCAAGTGCAATAAGATAAGAAAAAACAGATTAGAGGTATACCTTGTTCATGGATGAATAGATACAATGTACTAATTACATTAATTTCTTTCAAATTAATGTATACATTCAATGTAATTCTATCAAAATAGATAAACGAAATATAAGAGAAATCTGTGCTCAAATGTTCCTCTTTCTCATCTAAGAAATGAACACCTCCGCTACCTAGAGTCAATCCTTGCACTGGCAAAGGTAATGGATCCCACCCTCTCTCATCTACTCATGAACTTTAATCCTGCAACTATTCCCTTTTTCTTCTTTCTTATCAAATTATCTCTATTGATTGGGTATTTCTTATCAACATACAAACATCACAGGTGGGCAAACCCTACAGAAAGACGTAATGAATTTATAATAAATGAAACATGTGTTTTTGGCACATAGATAAACACCAAATCAATGAAACACAATTAGCTCATAAAAGGACCAAGGACTTGCTCACTGAAGTCTATGAAAGAAGCCACTGCAGGTCCAGGTACCCTCTTCTCTAACTATACTCAGGTGCTGGGTGACCTCATCTGGTCCTATGGTTTTCATTACTATCTATATACAACCACATTTATATCTGCAAGTCTAACTTTCTTCCTGAGCTCCTGGAACTTATTTATAAGTGCTTACCAGACATCTCCATGTCTAACAAGCATGTCAAAGTTAATATTTTTTAAGATAACAAATCCTTTTGTTATACTGCAAAAAAAAATTAAGATAACACTGTGTTTGCAAGAATGTGAAAACATAAGTATACTGTAGATAAAAGAGTAAGCCAGTATATTTTCTAAGGAAAGAAATCTGGTAGGATCTATCAATCTTGCAAATGCAAATTTCTTTTACCTGAAAATTCCATTTCTAGAAATTTATCCTTACACTTGTGTGGAATTATATATTAATAACTATGTCTTTTAGCTATACAATGTTTGGAAATAATTGAAATAATCTATGGGGCTAGTTAAATAAATTATATACAACCATACTACGTGTTATTTTTTATTTCTGGGTTTTAAAAAATGTTATTGAAATGGTATACATTTATGGTGTATAGTGTGATGTTTTGATATACATATACATAGTAAACCGATTACTATAGTCAAGCGAATTAATATAATCATCAATTCACATAATGACCGTGTGTGTGTGTGTGTGTGTGTGTGTGTGTGTGTGTGTAGTGAGAACACAAGTTCTACTCTTAGCAAATTTTATTTATACAGTACAGTGTTATTAAATATAGTTGGAAAGCATTTTCATATCACACAAATATAGATAGTGGGGTGGGGGAAAATAGGACCTTTTCTACTTCCACTATTTTGAGCAGCTCTTTGAAGCATTTATGTTTTCCATTCTAAGGTTTTCTTGCATTAACACATCAAAAGGAAATTGATCCTGATTGGAATACTAGTATTGTGGCTTTTGAATACTGGCGTGTGCTTTACATGTATCCTAAGAATTCTCTCTCATTTCCCACTTTCTTCTTTGAATGATTATATCCTCTCTGGGTGACCACGTGTGTTTCTTTCAATAAGCAAGTGTTCCATTTGTGTTAATTCTTTTTCTCCATCCTTCCCAGCAGCCAGCATTCCTGTCTTCAAAGAGTTTACAGAAAGGTTATGGAGATAATGCTAATACACAAAGCCAGTGGAAAACAATAGTTCTGGCATCCAGGTGTTTCTGCTAGAATCATGAGCCTTACCGTCCCTGATGTAGCCAGGGAGCCTCCTCCCATGTAGTATTCTTTGGAGCACTGGGAGGATATGAATTCTATCATCCAGACTGAATAAACAAGGAAGTCATAGAGTTCAGCTTAGTTGGAGGTGCTGCCTCCATCCATCAGGTTTACTCTGGTTAAGTTACAGCACAGCACTTTTGGTGACCACTTTGTTGTCATTTAACAAGCCTATCACGTTAAATTCAGAGTGAGTTTTTTTCTATATGAATCACGCAAGTCAGCTAACTCACTATGACGAGAACAAAATTCTCCCAGAATCTGAGAGTGAGAGTCCACTGAAATGAAGAGACATCTCCTCTCTGCAAGATGAAAGGGGAAGGCTTCCACAGGAGCAACACTCTGTGACCTCGGAGCACCCTAGCACTTCACTGGGAAGTGACACCAACAGGCCAGGGCATATTCCTGAAAATCTGGGGAGCAAAGGGAGGGATCCTGTTCCATCAACCGGCCAGAAAGTGTTTATTTAGCATCTACTAAGCTTTAAGGCAGACTGTACTTTGGGGAATGCAGACAGGAAAAGATATGGTCCCAGTTGGAGATAAGAGAATAATTCCAATAACAAAAACAATAATAAGATCTTGACAAACATTCTTCCATACATTCCTTCACTCCTTACGACTTCACGATGTAAGAGAAAGACTCGGGTTGGACCATGTGACCAAGGATGCGGAGCAGGTCAAGGGTGAAGCCAGTGCTCAAACCAAGGTTTTCTGACACCAGATGCCAAACTCTTCCCACGATAAAAATCTACCTTGTCTGTCTGGAAAAGACCACAAACGCAGGAAGCCTACGACCCACAGTCAAAGAGCCCACAACAAAACCCGGACGTAAAAGCTGGTTGTTCATGCCTCAATCTTCCTGCAGAGGATTTCCCCATCACCAGGTGCCAAACCCTTCTCTGCTGCCCCCTATCTGTTAAAGACCAATCTACACGCCGCTTCCTGAGCGCCCATCCTCTTTCCCATCAAATATTCCTCATCTGGACAGGCGCAGTGGCTCATTCCTGTAATCCCAGCACTTTGGGAGGCTGAGGTGGGAAGATCACCTGAGGTCAGGAGTTCGAGACCAGCCTGGCCAACATGGCGAAACTCCGTCTCTACTAAAATTACAAAAATTAGCTGTGCACAGTGCCGCATGCCTATAATCCCAGCTACTTGGGGGCTGAAACAAGAGAATCGGCTTGAGCCAGGAGGCAGAGGTTGCAGTGAGCTGAGATCGTACCACTGCACTTCAGCCTGGGTGATAGAGTGAGACTCTATCTCAAAAAATATATATTTCTCATATGTATTTTTATATATAAAATATATATACATATATGTACGTGTGTATACATATACACATATATGTACGTGTACATATACACATGTGTGTACGTGTACATATACACATGTGTGTACGTGTACATATACACATGTGTGTACGTGTACATATACACATGTGTGTACGTGTACATATACACATGTGTGTACGTGTACATATACACATGTGTGTACGTGTACATATACACATGTGTGTACGTGTACATATACACATGTGTGTGTACATATACACATGTGTGTACATATATATACATATATGTATGTGTACATATATACATATGTGTATGTGTACATATATACATATGTGTATGTGTACATATATACATATGTGTATGTGTACATATATATACATATGTGTATGTGTACATATATATACATATGTGTATGTGTACATATATATACATATGTGTATGTGTACATATATATACATATGTGTATGTGTGTAAATATAGATACATATATACATATATGTATGTATACATATATGTATGTGTGTATATACATGTATACATATATACATATATGTATGTGTGTGTGTATATACATATATACATATATACACATACATATATATACACACACACATATATATATAGCTGGAGGGTGAAGCTAACCTGACAGCCCACTAACACTGCTGATAACCAAGTTGGAATTTCACAGAAACAAGGCCTACATATCATGTGCTCTTGTATCCTCCTTGCCATGTCCAGTGTCTAGTACAGCGCCTCAAGTCTAAGATATTACATCTTAAAGCAAAGGAAGGTCGTCCACTGGACAATGGCAGCTGCTACAGACACCAAGTTTGCCTCAACTCAATGTCCAGGGGAGGTATTTTTGGAATTCTGGAGGGTGGATGAGAAAGCTGTTTAATGAAGGGCATGCTTTGGCCCAATTTTCTGTATGTCATGTGAGTCTGACTATGTGTATGGCCCAGTCACAGACTGCATTTGACCTTAGCAGCTCCTTTCCCATCTCTCAAAAGTGCCAGAGTCCTTTTTTTTTTTTTTTTTTTTGAGACGGAGTCTCGCTCTGTCACCCAGGCTAGAGTGCAGTGGCACGATCTCAGCTCACTGCAAGCTCCACCTCCTGGGTTCACGCCATTCTCCTGCCTCAGCCTCCCGAGTAGCTGGGACTACAGGCGCCCACCACCACGCCCAGCTAATTTTTTGTATTTTTAGTAGAGACGGGGTTTCACCGTGTTAGCCAGGATGGTCTCGATCTCCTGACCTCGTCATCCGCCCGCCTTAGCGTCCCAAAGTGCTGGAATTACAGGCATGAGCAGAGTCCTTTTTTTTAGCCTTTTAAAAGTTACTTTAAAGTACAGACATCAGACTCTTGAGACTTGAAGCTGGAACTCTCCGGCTGCCGCAAGGACAGGATTTTTACTGCCTGGTCTAAACCTTATCAGACAGCATCAGGATATGGTGTGTCCGATACTCACCGATGCCAATGCCAACCCTCAGGCAGCTTGAAAGGTGAGCCTTGGGCAGCTCTCAGGTTCCCTGCGCCTCCTCTGTCCCCTGGATCCGGGCTGCTTACCTGTCTTAGCTAACATCTCAGCCTAATGACACTGAAGGCCAGTGCATCCTGCACCTCATCCCTCCTTCCTGTTCAATGCCCTCCTCAGAGGGGCCAGGGTTTTGGCCAGAACCAGTGCATCTTCCCAGCCACCAGCAGAACACACAGAGTCTCTGACCATCTTTCACGTCCACAATGCAAGTGAAACGCCACATCACAGGATCTGGCCTTCCCTGTGGCAGCTCAAGGAGCAGCTGATACCCCAGGAGGCAGGGCAGGTCAATATCACGAGGCCAAGGGCAGACAGGGCACAGAAACTTGCTCTCCCTTCTCCCAAACTGACTGTTGCAAAGCATGGGGTTTCTTCCATGTGGCCAAGCAAGGGCACAAGCACAGTGACCCAGTGTGTCTCCCAGCAGCTCCAAGGAAAGCAGGGCCAATGCCCTCACATGGACCTGGACTTCTTCCCCACCCTTGCTCCCTGCCCTCTCCATCGCTTTCTGCCCTGGGATAGCACAGCCTGTAGCACCTGCATATCAAACCTTGCCTGAAGCTCCGCTGTCTTGAAACCGGCTGTCACCTGGTTTTCTCCTCTGACCATTAAATGAAACCCAACAGCCTCCCTCCTGAGCACCGGATGTGTAGGGCACATGCTGGTGTGAGCTGGAGAGAGTTCACATCCAGACAGACCTCAGCTAGATGCGGGCTTTGCCACTAACCAGCTGTGCAGCCATAAACAAGGTAGTTCCTCTCTGAATTTTCTCTAGCAGGAACTTCACAAAAATCTTGCAAGGTGATTAAACAGAAATTGACCCACTTGACAGATAAACACTAAGACAAAGTTGAGTAACTTTCCCAAGTTCACACAGTGAGCGGCTGTGTTACAAATCTTCCTCTCAGCTGGGTGCAGTGGCTCACA
Organism: Homo sapiens; assembly: GCF_000001405.40. NCBI lineage: Eukaryota > Metazoa > Chordata > Mammalia > Primates > Hominidae > Homo > Homo sapiens. Next base: position 153,110,522 of record NC_000007.14, on the reverse strand, counting down.
CCTGTAATCCCAGCAGTTTGGGAGGCCGAGGCGGGCGGATCACCTTACATCAGGAGTTGAAGACCAGCCTGGCCAACATGGTGAAACCCCGTCTCTACTAAAAATACAAAAATTTGCCAGGTGTGGTGGTGGGCGCCTGTAATCCCAGCTACTCAGGAGGCTGAGGCACAAGAATCACTTGAACCCAGGAGGCGGAGGTTGCAGAGAGCCGAGATTGCACCACTGCACTCCAGCCTGGGTGATACAGTGAGACTTCATCTCAAAAAAAGAAAAAAAAAAGAAAAAAGAAATCTGCCTCTCATTTATTTCTCCACAAATGTTTGCATTTTATTTGATATACTCAACAATTACTAAAACCAGCTACGATGTTTTACTCTCCTTTATTTGAAAAAAAGATTAATATGCACACTCAAGTTCTCTCTATGACACTAAAGCAACCACTTTAAAAGTCATTATTTCATGAAACAAGGATGTGGCATCATGAAGACCAAAATAAAAGTTTCATAAACTAGTTTAGTAAATTGAGTGTCACACACTGTGTACATTCACACTGCCAAAAAAATCATTCGCTGACTATGAAATTTTTGCCAGCCGTATGCTAACATCAAAAGTAAATCCTGTAGGCTGCTGCAGGGTTTTTAATGTGTTTCAGGGGACCAGCATCTCAAAGCACTGCTGAGAGCCACAGCCCGTATCCTCCACCGTCACACACAGCCTCGGCACTCCAGCTGACATTGTGTTAGTCCGTACCCAGGTGGCGTGCACAGAGGCATCTGCATAAGTCTGGATGCCAAGAACAACCATGGGATGTACAACCCACACTCATGGGAATCCCATTCCTGACAGTGCTGGAAAATAGTTTCCTATAGGAAGCCTTGACTATTAAGCTACAAAACACAACACTGACAGTGTTGTGGATAGAGCCTCAGCTGCCCATATACACTTGCTCCAACGCTGCCATCTGTGCCCACTGTGCACTATGATAGGGTCCTCAAAGTCTTCTCGGCGAGTCTCTTTGAGTTGCTGTGAAGTCCCAAGGCTGCCACTAAAACAGCAGGGAGGTAGGAAGTGTCAGCACAAAGTCTGAGGTGGAAAAGCAACCTTTTGAAGTCACTGCCAGGATCCCTGAGCTACAGGAGAAGTCCTACCTACCAAGGAGTCCCTTGGGCCATGGAGGATGGGATGACGGGGACCCCAGCAATGTCTCCAGGTACCAGGAGGGTAAGATGCCAAGACTGATGGGTAGATCAAGGTCTACTTATTCCAGAATCCCACCACAGCCCTGCTCTATTTTCTGTTTACATGTGCTATGTGCAAGAAAGGGCCCAAATTCCATGTTGGTGTTACTGCTGGACAACTTTCCGTGACCCAGCCTTTCTTTGAGCACACACTCATTGGTAGCCTCCTGTGGGCAAGCACTATTCTAGACACAGAGGACAGAGCCGTAAGGAGCAGAGTCTGTGCCTTCAGGGGCTTTTGCTTTACTGGGGAAGACAAAACAAGCAATAACAAAGACATCATCATTAAAGCATTGTACTATATAGTGTGATCAACGCAATTCAGAAAACAGGGCGATGGGACTGTGAGTCAAGGGAAGAGGCATGCTATTTTTGATGTGGAGGGTAAGGTGAGGCCTCTCAAAGGTGGGATGTCACTTGGTTAGACCTGGAGGAGAAGAATGAAGGAAAGGGTGTTCCGCACCCAGAACGAACAGGGGCATGTGCTGGCCAAGGCTGTGTTTTCACAGTTTCATATTCAGGGTTCTGGGGCAGAACACCTTGGCAGGTTTAAAATAGAAAGTGGGGCCGGGCACAGTGGTGCATACCTGTAATCCCAGCACTTTAGAAAGCCAAGGCAAGTGGATCACTTGAGCCCAGGAGTTTGAGACCAGCCTGGGCAACATAGCAAGATCCCATCTCTACATAAAGCACAAAAAATTAGCCAGGCATGGTGGCAGGCGCCTATAGTCCCAGCTACTCAGGAGGCTGAGGTGGAAGGACCACTTGAGCCTGGAAGGCAGAGGTTGCAGTGAGCAGAGTTGTGCCACTGCACTCCAGCCTGGGCAACAGAGCTAGACCCTATCTCAAAAAATAAAATAAAATAAATATGTAAAAGATAAACTGTGCTGATGTGACTGGAGCCTGGAGGGGGCAGTTTGAGTATTAGACACCGTGGGAGGGAGGGCTGGGGCAGCCACGTGGGGCCTGCAGGATGCTAAACAGATTTCATTCCGTGAGCGGGGCAGCCAGGGGAGGTGTTTAAGTAGGGGCATGTCATGCTCTCAGTGACTACTGAGAAGAAGGTAGGAGCTAACTTATTTTATATCTACTGCCTATCTGAAGCTGAGAATACACCATCCTCCTGACCCCCAGCAAATTCATGGTTTGTCTAAAATTGTTAGCTCAAGATTCGGGAAGAGCTAAATAGCAGTGGAGTTTCCCATGAGGAGACTAAATGGGATGCAGTGTAATGCCACAGCCTGCATTCCGAGTTCTCTTTATTGAAGCAATATCACGGGCAGCTCAAGGGACCCCAGCTTCATTACTCTGCACAGCTGTGCCCAGCTCTGTCCTAAACATACACCTATTTGGAAGGATACTAGATATACAAAGAGCCAGAGAAAATAATGTGTGAACTGTAGAAAAGCTAAGGTTTCCTGCTCAGTGCACGATAATGTTTTCAAAACAGCCTGCCCGGCAAGAAGTCAGCAGGGTGGAAGTGGAGGAGAACATCAGAGCGTAGGTCTTTTATTTCCAGCCATCCCATCCCACCCTGATCCTATGTCTACTTACAGGTTATGGGGGGAATGCACATTATTGAGGCTTTGTTGAATTTCCTAAATCCTGAAAATATTGCCTAAAATGGTTACAAGATGACAAAATACCTTTTGTTAAAAGTTTACATTCAGAAGATGTGCAAACAGCCAGTAACGCATGAAAAGATGTTCAACACCATTAGTCATTAGAGAAATGCAAATCAAAGTCACACTGAAATGCCGCTTCATACCCATGGGGATGGCAATAATAAACAATCAGAAAATAGCAGTGTTGGAAAGAATTTGGGGAAACTGGAGCCCTTAGACGTTGCTGGTGGGAGTTTGAAGTGGTGTGGCTGCTGTGGAAAACAGTTTGGCAGTTCCTCAAAAGTTAACTATACAATTGTCATATGAACCAGCAATTCCACTCCTAATATGTACCCCAAAGAACTGAAAATATATAAGTGACTCAAAAAATATGTGAGTGTGCATGGTGCACTCTTCACAATAGTCAAAGAGTGGAAGCAACCCAAATATTTATCAGTGCATGAGTGGATGAACAAATTGTTTATATTCATGCAATGGGATATTATTCAGCCATAAAAAGGAATAAAGTTCTGATACAGGCCCCAGTGAAAGACCGATATTATATGATTCCATTTGTATGAAATATCCAAAATGGATCAATCACAGGGACAGAAAGCAAATTGGCATTTCCCCGGAGCTAGCAGGTTGCGGGGATGGGGGTAGCTGGACACAGGATTTTATTTTGGGGTGAGGAAAGTGTTTTGGAACTACACAGAACCGGTGGTTGCACAACATTTGAATGTACTGAATGCCAGTGAATTGTACACTTAAAGGGGTTAATTTTATGTTGCATAAATTTCACCTCAGTAAAAAATAGCCATGTTCAGCCAACACTTTCTGAAATAGAAATCCCCCAAGCTCAGCTGTCCGCATCCCACTGTGCTTAACTTCCCTCCACCAAAAGGGTTCCAACGTTCTCCAGCAGCCTCTGGTCTCCCTCCCTCCCCCATGATAGACTGCCATGGGAGTGATAGAGCCAGGAGAAAAGAAGAGGTCGTATATTATGAGTTTCTATTCTAGCTTTTTTTTCTTTTGAGACGGAGTCTCACTCCATTGCCCAGGCTGGAGTGTAGGGGCGCAATCTCGGCTCACTGCAACATCTGCCTCCTGGGTTCAAGTGATTCTCCTGCCTCAGCCTCCTGAGTAGCTGGGATTATAGGCACACGCCACCACATCCAGATATTTTTGTATTTTTAGGGCCAGTATTCACATAGGGGAATCTTTGAGGCCAAAATCCTGAAAGTGTAAGTAGTGTGATCTTAGTCACTGAATAAACTTGAATTTGAACTAGTTCATATCTCTGGGTGTAAAGAATAATACATCCCTTCTTATCTAACTTATAGAGGCTTGTGATAAGCAAGTGCAATTTTATAAGTGAAAGAGTTCTGAATAGAATAAAGCATTGTAATAAGATTTCTTAAGTTATTAACTTTTATGCATAATATCTCCTTTTCCCACCTGCAGTTAGGATGTTTAAAGAGTGAGACATGTTTGGAAATTAAATATTCTGATATCAAATTTCCATACACATTCATTACAAATGTACCAGAAAAAGACAAATAAATATCTTATTTCCCACTCATAAATTACTGGATACTGATGAAATTTATCTTCGAAGATTGAGAAGGCACTTTGTGGTCGGTATTTATATCCCCAACCCTCAAGCAGCAGATGCAAATAAAGCCAATGGGGATTTGGACTAACAGGACGCCAGATATTGATATGCTTAGAGACACGCTGGCTTATAGGAAAGGACAAATAATGGAACAAATGGGCCGATGCAACACAAAGTTGACTTCTGGCATAAATGTGTGTGTTTCAGGGACTTGGATAAGAGCCACAGCCACTCACTGGCTGGCCCGGTGGCTCTGAATCATTCTCTTCCTGGTTCTTATCAGCAAAAGGAGGATGATGCCACCCAGCTGGAGAAGGCTGCAGGAGACATCTATTCAAGAAGATGAAAGCGATGTTCTGCCTAATGTATGTGAATGTCTTGAGAGGAGATTTGCACAACAGGGAGAGAACTGGGGATTGAATGAATGATCAGTACCCAGAATATTAAGGAAAGAAGAACAAGAGGAGAAGGGAGCAGGAAGGGGAGAATGTGGCAGTGGGCGGGGCCGGGGGGAAGAAAGGAAAAGAGAGAGGAGGGGAAGGGAGAGCAGGGAGGAAGGGAAGGGAAGGGAAAAGGGAAGGGGAGGAGAGGGAAGGGAAAAGGGAAGGGGAGGGGAGGGGAAGGAAGGGGAGGGGAGGGAAGGAAGAAAAGGAAAAAGAGAGGGAGGGAGAGGGAAGGGGTAAAGAAGGGAGGAACAAAGGAGGGAAGCAAGGAAAGAAGCTATGCTGTATCAAAAAGAAAAGAAATCATAGTATGCTACAGAGCCCAGCTCTAATAAGATTTACATAGTCATAGTAATACAAACACCAACATGTGATTTAACTAAAATTATACTAATAGCATATTGGGAAGATAGAAACAGAACAAATGTGTGTATATAGAGTAGTGGAGAAATTGGATGAAAAAAGGCTAAATCCTCAGCTTTCTTAACGGGAAAACAAGATAATGCCTAAAGCTGAAACATTTAGAAAGCAGAAATATAAGCATGATAATTGGAGTTATAGATGTAAATACCAATAAAATATGCTGGAAGAGTTCAAAGTGATAGCTTCTGGGGAGAATACTGGAGGAGGAGAAATATTCTCTCTCATAACTGGCTTTGTAAAATAATTTCACTCTTTAAAACATATATGTGCATCTCTTTGTTCAAAAGTAAACACTACATTTTAAAAGTGCAATGGATGGCATGAATCTTGTAGATCAGGAAAGTCAAGAGTCGTAATTTTAGAGGCTTCCCACTTTACACCCTCTGCACCCAGGGAGTAGGAATTGAGCCCAGGGTAGGAATTGAGCGCTGTCCCTCAGAGCACGCTGCTATGGTAAGATCATCATGGACTGGGGTAGGCTTGAAGTCAGGCCAGAAGTCAAGTCCAAGTTGTGCTGATGACTTGCCAAGTGAACTTAAGCAAGTTGCAACCTCCAAGTTCCAACTTAATCAGAAAATGGAGGGTGCTACCGAATTCAAAATTCCGCTTGGTGTCAGGGGACTCCATAAAAACGTGGGAATGTGCCCCACAATCTGTACTCACCTTACCTGTTAAGGACTTTGTCTGGATTCTTGGAGAATAAATCCAAAAATACTTAGCTGGACACCTTATCTGAGCCCAGGGTTCCTTAAACAGCCAAGGGTGCTGCAGTGAGAGGAGCAATCATTGGCCAGCAGGGGAGGGGCATTTGTGCACCCTCCCAGTCGCACACACTTGACTTGTTATAGCTGGGCTTAGAAACAGAGACGATGACAACATGAAGAGGCTCAGCCTCTTAGGGAGCCATTGTCTCCTTTTCATGGCTCCAGTATACAATTGACTGAGATCAATCTCAAACCTCACTAAACAAGTGAATTCTTTTTATGCTAACAATTTGTCTTATGTTTAGGTAGGAACATACCTCCCCCTGGTGTCTCGTGCTTGCAGACATACTGTACTCGTCTTAGATCAAGAGTCACACTGTCCGAGTCTTAATATCCTAGTGGAAGACAGGCACTGAATAGCACTGAGCCTTGCCCACTTCTCCCATGTTGACCCCACAGCGGTTAGGTTCAGGCCAATCGAATTTAAGTTCCCACCATAACTTGACACAAGGCAGGTGCTTCCCACTCTCATGGAACCTTCAGTATCCCTAGGCATTAGGTACTACCCCCACTTTACTAATAAGTCAAGGAAGATTCACAGATTTTAAATTCCTTACGAGCAAATTATTAAGAGGCCACTCTGATGCAAGCCCAGCACAGCTTCCTTAAGGCAGCTGCTGGGCAGCTTCATGTTCACAGAACAACAGAATGAAAAGGAATGGAGGCAGAGCACAACTACATCCAGATAGAACTTGACCCTAATTGCTTCAAATTATTGATCAAAGGCTCATCAGGAAATTGAACTTAAAAAGCCCCCAGCCACATACAGTCACTCAGACCATCAACAACGCATTGCTAAGTGGAAAGTTTTTGAGCACCTGCTTTAATGAAAATAATTATAATTAGCAAACTGATTAGTGTCAAAAAGTCCTACCTGAATGCAGTTTTTATTGAGTAAGATGAGCATCCTCCCACCCCAGGTACTGTTATTAATTTGCCTTCTTAACGGTACAGCTGCCACCAGGGGCTGCTGGTAGTAGACACTGGCTGTTGGTCTGCCCGGCAACCATTTCCCCTTTGTTCTGATACACAGCTTAGTGACTCGCATGTAGGTTTGTCTTTGGCTTAGGCACTCATCCAACCAGTTGATTCAAGGGGCAGGGCTATAGTAAGTTTACACCGAATTCACACATGGGAGCTGTTCCTCCAATAGACAGTAGCTCGCTGTTGCCCCAGGCACAGCCCTGCTCCAGAAGCCTAGAGTTCTGTCTACAGCTCCTCTCCCGACTTCAGAGCATTCCGACCCAATGTGGACGTTCCAAGCACCGCCATACCTCCTAGTTTAAGATGCTTGAGCATTAGGGCAGCTTGCACCTGCCTTGAACTGTCCACTGAGCCCTCTTGTTCTGTCTTTCCAAACACTGACAGCTTTCCCATTTGCCCATAAGTGGGTCAGGGCAATATTCTCCAAAGTGCTTATGCTACCTCCAAAATCTGAAGAGGCGCACCAAACACACACCTCTTTCTTATCAGTAAGAGGGTCAAGTTTAATAACTTCTCATTCCCCTTACAGGGGATATCCCAGCATGTCCCAAACCATCAGACCCCTACTAACTTCACTGATATGGCAGCCTCCCAAATATTCCCGGGGTTTTCACTGCCATGCTCTCACTTACGAATTACTAAAGCATTTAGGATACCTGCTACTTTCGGTTTTATCAGATTCAATTAGCAGATTGTCATCAATACTATGGATTAGTGTGGCAGTGTGTGAAATGTTGAGATGTTCAAGGTCTCTCTGGAATATATGATAACAAACAGCTAAAAGTTCACATAGCCATAGGGCAAGACAGAGAATGAGAAACTGTTTCTCCTTTCTGAAGATGAACTGATTTTGATCTTCCTTATTGATTACTACCAAGAAGAAAGCATTTGATTTCACTTCTAGGTAATTACCTAAGAGAAATGAAAACAGGGAACTCTATAGAGGCAGAACTTGGAATAGTAGTTTCTTAGGACTTGCAGGGAGGGGCTAGGGAGATAGGGGGATAAAGGATACAGGGTTTCTTTTTTACATGCATTCAAACCATATCACTCACAGATCAGGAAACTAACCTTATGGTTCACTCTGCTGCTAAGTCTATCCCAATGTAGAATCAGAAATGATACAATTTAATTGATCATATTGATCAATTCATATTATTGTAATGATTAAATCTTTCTAAAACTGACTGTGGTGATGGTTGCACATATATGGAATATACTCACAGCCATTGAATTGTACACTTTAAGTGGATAAATGATATAATATGTGAATTGTATCTTAACAGAGCTAGTCTTAACGAAGAAGGAGAAAGAGGAGGCAGAGGAGGAGGAGAAAAAGAGGAGGAGGAGGAGATAGAATAAAAAGGAAGAGAAGAAGAAAACATTTGCAAGTCAGTAACCACGTATCAAACAGCAGAGGCTGTGTTGGTCCACTCCAGTGAAGATGCCCCCCTAGTAAGACCCAGAGCCAGCGTGGCAGCTGTGACTGGAGCTACAACCTAGGTACTAATCATTGTCTACTATCACCTGCCATGATGCATCCTGTTTTTACAGAAGCCTGGCTGGTGAATTAATTGGGCATATGATTGAAACCACCATCCAGCATCCTTTATTTTTGGTGATACTAATCTCTGTAATGACTCCAAACGTGAGTGGGTTTCAGAAGCTTCCCCTTGTCCCTTCCTACCATAAAGGCCCTTACCTCACTGTATTGGGCTGTTCTTGCACTGCTATAAAGAAATACCTGAGACTGAGTGATTTATAAGAAGAGATGTTTAATTGGCTCACAGCGTTGCAGGCTGTACAGGAAGCGTAGCAGCATCTGCTACTGGGGAGGCCTCAGGAATCTTCCAATTATGACAGAAGGCAAAGCGGGAACAGGGACATCGCACGGTGAGAACGGGAGCAAGAGAGAAAGAGAAACGGGGGGCACACACTTTTAGATGACAAGATCTCATGTGAACCCAGAGCAAGAGCCCACTTATCACCAAGGGGTTGACCCAAGCTATTCATGAGGGATCTGCCCACATGAATGATCCAAACATCTGCCACCAGGCCCCACTTCCAGCATTGGGGATCACAGTTCAACATTTGGCAGGGACATGCATTCAAACCATAGGACTCACAGATCAGGAAACTAACCTTAGGGTTCCCCTCTGCTGCTAAGCCTATCCCAATGTAGGATCAGAAATGATACAATTAAATTGGTCATACTGATCAATTCATATTATTGTAATTCCCATGCATAAATTACTGGATAGTGATGAAATATCATATTATCTTATTCTCACTGGAGTTTGTGCTAGCTGTTATTTCAGTAATTGCATTGTTGTTTTTACAACATATTTTACTTTTCTTAGCATATCTCACACACAGCAGGGATCTAATGAGTGACAGCTAAGAAGACAATGAGTATGACTGATGGAATGTTGTGATTGTTCGTTTCACCACCAACAGTGAATGTCTACAGGATGTTCATGGTGCAGTTCCATCCAGTTCAGTTCAGTTCCTAAGTAGCGATCGATGCATCCAACAAATAGTATTAGTTTGGTGCAAAAGTAATTGCGGTTTTGTCATTTAAAAAATGGCAAAAACTGCAATTACTTTTTGTTTTTGTATTTTGTTTTTTGAGGCAGTCTTGCTCTATCGCCCAGGCTGGAATGGAGTGGCACAATTTCGACTCACTGCAACCTGTGCCTCCTGGGTTCAAGCGATTCTCCTGCCTAGCTGGGATTACAGGTGCGCGCCACCACGCCCGGCTAATTTTTGTATTTTTAGTAGGAGACGATGTTTCGCCATGTTAGCCAGGCTAGTCTTGAACTCCTGGCCTCAAGTGATCCACCTGCCTCAGCTTCCAAAAGTGCTGAGATTACAGGCATGAGCCACCATGCCTGGCCCGCAATTACTTTTGCACCAACCTAATAGTAGCATGTTGGTAATCAAATCAACTGTTTCAAAACCTCACCCATCTAAAACAGAATTAACATTCACTAAAATGTCAGCATATTCTGTCTTCTACAAGATTTACTTTATGGCTCCAAGTTTTTAATCTCTGGATTAAACTCATATTCACACTAAATATGCATTAATAATAACAGAAGTATAATTCTTTATTCCTTGTAGGCAGGTTTGTATCCAAGGAAAGAAAATTCTTAACTGAATGAGGTAGCTCCCCAGGGGATACATGTTTGCCAAGTAATCATTTCAAGCAGTGCTTAGGATATGTTTGAGCTTCATGTTTGTGTGACACAGACTTCTACCTACTCTGCCTTCAGTGGTCATAAACTTCAACTGAATGATTGTATTTGGTAGTGTATCTTTCCATGTCATGGGACATAGAATCCCAGGTAGAGAGAAATGAGAGAGGGGGAAAGAGAGCTGAGTAACTGGAAAGACACAGTAAAGAGATTTGTATACCCAGAGACAGAAGCTGGGAGGGAAATAAGGAGCCACATGTGAAGCAGGCAGCTCCATCCCCGCCCCAACCCATCATTCTCACCTGACACACTGTGTCACGCTTGTGCCCCTGAGAAGCACATGCTGAGATGGAGGTAGGAGTGACAGAGATTTATGGAGTGGTGAGTAGGGGAGAGTGCCTGCGAAAGATAAAGAGAGAAGAAGAAAGATGGAATATCATCTCATACTGTGGAACAGCACTGATAAAGTCTCTGCAAACTCAATGGGGGGCTTCGGGGCAAAAATTGCCCATCGGAGGTTCTGGGCAGAAGTGGTGAGACTCTACTCCTCTCACCGTGGAGCTCAGCAATGGCCTGGGGCCCCTCAGGTTGAGCGCAGCCTCATTTTGAAAGGCAAGGTGGACTCTGAATGTGCTGACAACTGGACGTCGTGAGTTGACTGCACTTCTTGCAGCTGAATAAATTCTGCATGGTGGCTGAGGTCTATGCGTGGGGCACACCTGCACGGTGGCTGACACCTGTGTGTAGGGCACACTGCCATGGTGGCTGAGGTCTGCGTGGAGTTCACCTCCATGGTGGCTGAGGTCTATGTGTGGGGTTCACCTCCGTGATGGCTGAGGTCTGTGTGTGGGGTTCACTTCCATGGTGGCTGAGGTCTGTGTGTGGAGTTCACCTCCATTGTGGCTGAGGTCTGTGTGGGGTTCGCCTCCATGGTGGCTGAGGTCTGTGTGGGGGGCACACTTCCATGGTGGCTATGTCCACCCAACGCACCTCCATACATGTACATGGAGAAGATTCCCCAAAGTTCCCCTGAGCCTCCCCTTCTGAGGGGAGCTTGAGAAATGGGGGTCAATGGCACCAGCTGTGCCCTGTCATGCAACTGCAGCTCATCCTCATCATCTTCCTCCTTCACTACACTTTATAAATTCCCTTCTTCCTCGGTTGTCATCACCTCTACTGCTCTCAATGGCTTACCTGGTGTTTTGGATTTGCATTGTGTCCCCCAGAAAGATATGCTGAGGTTCTCAACCCAAGTACCTGTGAATGTGACTTTATTTAGAAATAGAGTCTTGGCAGATGTAATTAGTTAAGATGATGCCAAACTGGAGAAGAGTAGGCTCTGATTCCAAATGACTGGCATCCATATAAGAAAAGAAGACACAGAAACAGCGGGAAGACGGCCAATGTGAAGACAGAGGTAGCAATTAGAGAGATGCATCCATAAGTCGAGGATTTCCAGGAGCTCCCCAAACAGGAAGAGGGAAGGAAGGATTCTCTCCAGCATGTTTCAGAGGGAGTGGCCCTGCTGACAGTGTGTTTTCAGACTTCTAGAAAAAATGAAGTTCTGTGGTTTGAAGCCTCCCAGTCTGAGTACTTTGTTACAGCAGCCTGAGGAACTAAACATGATCCAGTCCTGCTTAAAGGGGTGGGAGCCCCTGAGGATCATTCATAGTTTAGGCCAGGGTTGCTATTCTTGTCAATTCGCAACCACAATCAGACAAGGGAGTACCCAGGGGTGCCAAGTGGATCGCTGGAGTCCCACACTGGACGCCCACACTGGAGTCCCATGTTCCCTTCCTGGTCTTACACAACAGCAACCCTATCTTCCTTCTGTGTGGGGGGGTCTCACCTGCATGGTGAGGATACATGTGCAGAACATGCAGGTTTGTTACATAGGTATACATGTGCCATGGTGGTTTGCTGCACCCATCAACCTGTCATCTACATTAAGTATTTCTCCTAATGCTATCCTTCCCCTAGCCGCCCACCCCCTGACAGGCCCCAGGGTGTGATCATCCCCTCCCTGTGTCCATGTCTTCTCATTGTACAGCTCCCACTTATGAGTGAGAACATGCGGTGTTTGGTTTTCTGTTCCTGTGTTAGTTTGCTGAGAATGATGGTTTCCAGCTTCATCCTTGTCCCTGCAAAGGACATGAACTCATCCTTTTTTATGGTTGCAAAGTACTCTCCTCTCTGCACTGTGCAGATAGGCTCCTGATAGCCCAACCTATAGAACAGTTCTGCAGACATGCATGGTCATGTTCAACTCCCAGCAATGAGTACAGATGAGGCTCAACCTGGGACCATCGCCAAACCAGAAAACCGTCATGTTCTCAAACTATTAAGAGGGTAAGGGCAAAGGTGCTGCCGCTTCTCCTCCATCAAACGTCATCCTCCCTTCCCCTCTCTCTCTCTCAGTAAGAAAGTGTTTCCTCCACTAAATACTTTAGAAACTTTTGGAGTTTTTTTCTTTTCCTGAAGTGTAATTTTATTCATGCTGTGCTTACCTTAAACATAAGCGTATTGGAAGAACTCCCAGACATTCTGCATATTTTTAAAACATTTCAAGCTGATTTTCCTTGGTAAAAACAATCTTCCTTCTTCCTGGAAGTGTCTTCAGCAGACGATGCTTCCTTTGAAGACCACCTTCTACTGCATGCAAAGACTTAAAGGGGGAATACTTTAGCCGGCATTGAGCAGAAGGATAAAAAGCTCTGAATAATCATTGTTCTCACTTCCAAAGAGGATAAACAACATGGATTTTCCAAGGTAAAGAAATACTTCTAAGGTGGTTTTCACAGGGACTTCTCTGATTCTAAGCTCCTAACTCTTCTGTCTCCTGCAGAACTCTCTTGTCTAGGATGCAAGACAAGCCCGCCTAAAGTCTTAGAATGCCTGCGTGCTATGACTTCATTATATGTTGCTAATTCTCGTGTGTTTAAAATGAAGTGAAGACTGTATTGCAGTTAGTCGGAAGGTGCACCTCACCTCCTAGCTCTGAATACATGTGGCTCCATCATGACACCTCAGGCACAGCATTTGATTTAAATTTATTTCAGTAGCCACTGAAGACCATTAATCAAGTTCAGTGTTCCTCAAAGTCTGGCCCAGGGATGACCTATGTCAGAATCATTTGGAATGCTTGTTAGAAAAGAAAAAAAAAAAAAAAACATTTTCTGGTTCTTACTCCAAAACTACTGAATCAGAATCTTTAAGGGTGATAACTACAAATAGGCATTTTAAACAGCTTCCCTGCATGACTTACAAACATAGAAAAGTTTGAGAGCCATTACCCGACAGAGTGATTACCCTAACGTGTCTTGTCCTAGCCTGGTCCTTGGGAGCATCCCTTGGACCGAGAGTAAAGAATATGCAGTTAGAAGGAATGGATGTGGGGTTATGAGACCCAGGTTGAGGATCTGATTTTGCCTTGAATGTGCCACTTAACTGACTTCATGAACCCTCTTTTCTGATGTCTGAAACAATAATGATAGCATTTTGTTTTTTGTCAAAAGAGTTGTTGCAAAAATTTCAAGACATAATAAATGTAAAAGCATTTCATAGACTTAAATTCTCCTTCTTGATTTTTTAAACCACCTAAACCTTACAGAAAGTTTGCCATACAAACTTTTTGTACTGCAACACAGTACCAAGAAAAAACCTCTTTTCTTCTCTGAGCCATTTGAGAGTATGTTGCCATCCTAATGGTTTAGTGGGTATTTTCTACAACCTAGGATGGTCTCTTACATAACCATAATTCAACCATCAAAATCAGGAAACTTGCAGTGATACGTCACCAACATCTAATTCTTTGACTCCCCTCAAGTTTTGCCAGCTGCCTTGATACATTTTTTACAACAAGAGTAATGTAAATGTTCAAACATCACACGTTATATTTCGTTATCATTGATCTTTATGTATGCTTAATTAAAACAATTTTCAGGTCTTTCCTTGACTTTCATGAACGGGATCCTTTTGAAGATTGCAGGCTAATTATTTGGTAGAATGGCCCTCAGTTTGGATTTGCCTGGCATTTTCTTGTGGTTACATCCTGGTGACACATCTGTGGCCGCAGCAGCTCAGACATGACCCTGTGCTCTCCTCATTGCATCCCTCAGGTGCCGCGTGACTTGGATTTCTTCCATTGCTGGAGATTTCACTCTGACCATGTGGACAGGATGGTATCTTCCAGGCTTCTTCATGTAAAGTTATTCTTTCCTTTTTTTGTAATTAATAAATATTTTGTGGGGAGATACTCTGAAACTGTGTAAATATCCATGCCTCATCACATTTTCAATCTATTTATTTGTCTATTTATATTGGTATGAACTCCTGGCTTTCTATTTTACTCAATGGTTTAACATCTGTCACTATCATTACCTATTTGACCTTCAGATCCCCTCTGATGTGGGCAGTGGGAGGTCCTCTACATGGCTTCTGTGTCCCTTTGGCTTATCCCCATCATTCTTTGAGCACTTTCTTGTTTGCTGGCCAAACAGGAGGGTCCATTCTCACCTTTACTTTCTCTTCTCCAGTCCTGGTATCAGCCATTTCTCCAAAAAGCCGTAGCTCGTTGTTGTGGAGAATAATATTTAGAAGCCAAATTTGGGCATTTGGAGTGCTCATTGCAGCAGGAGTGTCACTGCTCCCAGTTCCTCTCAGTGGACAGAACTAGGGAATATCTGTGTGTCTATGCGTACAACATACACGTTTACATCTGTATTTATTCCTTTAACTATTCGTATGTCCATATTTTCATACATATGGATAGGTTATATATTCTTTATATAAAATCATTTCATACATACAAATTATTTGTTTGCACAAATACCTCCAATGTCAATCCAACATTGCAATATTCATCCCAGCTATTTCCCTTCTGATATGGTTTGGCTGTGTCACCACCCAAATCTCATCTTCAGCTGTAGCTCTGATAATTCCCACTTGTGGAAGGGAGCCAGTGGGAGATAACTGAATCATGCTGATGGTTCTCCCACACTGTTGTGGGAGTGAATAAGTCTCATGAGATCTGATGATTTTTTCCAGGGTTTCCCCTTTTGCTTGGCTCTCATTTTCTCTCTTGCCTGCCGCCATGTAAGATGTGCCTTTCTCCTTCTGCCGTGACTGTGAGGCCTCCCCAGCAACGTAGAACTGTGAGCGCATTAAACCTCTTTTTCTTTGTAATTCACCCAGTCTTGGATATGTCTTTAGCAGAAGCATGAAAACAGACTAATACACATTTCCATATCTGTAGCTCCATTTTGGCAACCCCCTTCTCCAGTAAGAAATCTGGCTTCTCATATCTTTAATGTGTTTACTTCACTGATCAGTCCCCTTGAATGCAATCAGTCTCCCACATCAGCCTGTACTCCCTCCTCTGGATAGACACCCTCCTCACCCCCTCAAGCTCCAACACCCCATGCCAGGCCCCTCACCAGGATCCCCCACCCTGCTAGGATTCTGACACCATGCTCTGTGCTACTGTAGCCCACTGCCCCACTGCCAGCACAG